>NC_000023.11:58605579-58736186 GCF_000001405.40 Homo sapiens
AGCATTCTCAGAAACGACTTTGTGAGGATGGCATTCAACTCATGGAGTTGAACAATCCCATTGATAGAGCAGATTGGAATCACTCTTTTTGTAGAATCTGCAAATGGAGATTTGGACTGCTTTGGGGCCTACGGTAGTATAGGAAGGAACTTCATATAAAAGGCAAACGGAAGCATTCTCAGAATATTCTTTGTGATGATGGAGTTTCACTCACAGAGCTGAACGTGCCTTTTGATGGAGCAGTTTCCAAATACACTTTTGGTAGAATCTGCAGGTGGATATTTGGAGCTCTCGGAAGATTTCGTTGGAAACGGGAATAATTTCCCATAACTAAACACAAACACGCTGAGAAAGTTCTTCATGATGAATGCATTTAACTCGCAGAGATGAACCTGCCTTTGAGAGTTCAGGTTCGAAACACTCTTTCTGTAGAATCTGCAAGTGGATATTTGGACCACTGGCTGGCCTTCGTTCGAAACGGGTATATGTTCACGTAAAAACTAAAGAGAAGCGTTCTCAGAAACTTCTGAGTGATGATTGCATTCAAGTCACACAGTTGAACCCTCCTTTTGATTGAGCAGTTTTGAAACTGTCTTTTTGTAGAATCTGTAAGTGTATGCGTGGACCTCTTTGAAGATTTCTTTGGAAACGGGAATATTTCCACAGAAAAACTAAACTGAAGCATTCTCAGAAACCGCTTTGTGATGTTTGTGTTCGAGCGACAGAGTTTAACATTGCTTTTCATAGAGCAGTTTTGAAATATTCTTTTGGCAGAATCTGCAAGTGGACATTTGGAGCGCTTTCAGGCCTGTGGTGGCAAAGGCCTGAAAGCCTTTTCCTTTATCTTCACAGAAAGACGAGAGAGAAGCATTGTCAGAAACTTCTTTGTGATGATTGCATTCAACTCACAGAGTTGAAGATTCCTTTTGAAACAGCAGTTTCGAAACACTCTTTCTGTGGGATCCGCAAGGGGATATTTGGACCTCTTTGAAGGTTTCGTTGGAAACGGGATAATCTTCACCTAAAAGCTAAACGGAAGCATTCTCAGAAACTTCTTTGGGATGTTTGCATTCACCTCACAGAGTTGAACTTTCCCTTTGATAGCGCAGCTTTGACACACTTTTTCTACAATGTGCAAGTGGCTATTTAGCGGGCTTGGAGGACTGTGTTGGAAAAGGAAATATCTTCTAAAAACGACATAGAAGCATTCTCAGAAACTGCTCTGTGATGATTGCATTCAACTCCCAGAGTTGAACATTCCTTTTGATAGAGCAGTTTGCAAACACTCTTTTTGTAGAATCTGCAAGTGGAGATTTGGACCGCTTTGAGGCCTGTGGTAGTGAAGGAAAGAACTTCATATAAAAACCAGACGGTAGCACTCTCAGAAAATTCTTTGTGACGATGGAGTTTAACTCAGGGAGCTGAACATTCGTTATGATGGAGCAGTTTCCAAACACATGTTTTGTAGAATCTGCGAGGGGATATTTGGACCTCTCTGAGGATTTCGTTGGAAACGGGATCAACTTCCCATAACTGAACGGAAGCAAACTCAGAACATTCTTTGTGATGTTTGTATTCAATTCACAGAGTTGAACCTTCCTTTGATAGTTCAGGTTTGCAACACCCTTGTAGTAGAATCTGCAAGTGTATATTTTGACCACTTTGTAGCCTTCGTTTGAAACGTCTATATCTTCACATCAAACCTAGACAGAAGCATTCTCAGAAAGTTTTCTGCGATGACTGCATTCAACTCACAGAGTTGAACAATCCTTCTGATGGAGCAGTTTTGATACCCTCTTTCTTTGGAATCTGCAAGGGGATATGTGGACCTCTTTGAAGATTTCACTGGAAACGGGATCATCTTCACATAAAAACTAAACAGAAGCATTCTCGGAAACTACTTTGTGATGTTTGTATTCAACTCCCAGAGTTGAACTTTCCTTTTGAAAGAGCAGCTATGAAACACTCTTTTTCGAGAATCTGCAAGTGGACGTTTGGAGGGCTTTGAGGCCTGTGGTGGAAAAGGAAATATCTTCACATAAAAACTAGATAGAAGCATTCTCAGAAACTACTTCGTGAGGATGGCTTTCAACTCATGGAGTTGAACAATCCTATTGATAGAGCAGATTGGAATCACTCTTTTTGTAGAATCTGCAAATGGAGATTTGGACTGCTTTGAGGCCTACGGTCGTATAGGAAGGAACTTCATATAAAAGGCAAACGGAAGCATTCTCAGAATATTCTTTGTGATGATGGAGTTTCACTCACAGAGCTGAACATGCCTTTTGATGGAGCAGTTTCCAAATACACTTTTGGTAGAATCTGCAGGTGGATATTTGGAGCTCTCTGAGGATTTCGTTGGAAACGGGAATAATTTCCCATAACTAAACACAAACACTCTGAGAAAGTTCTTCATGATGAATGCATTGAACTCGCAGAGATGAACCTGCCTTTGAGAGTTCAGGTTCGAAACACTCTTTCTGTAGAATCTGCAAGTGGATATTTGGACCACTGGGTGGCCTTCGTTCGAAACTGGTATATGTTCACGTAAAAACTAAAGAGAAGCATTCTCAGAAACTTCTGCGTGATGATTGCATTCAAGTCACACGGTTGAACCCTCCTTCTGATTGAGCAGTTTTGAAACTGTCTTTTTGTAGAATCTGTAAGCGGGTACGTGGACCTCTTTGAAGATATCTTTGGAAACGGGAATATTTCCACAGAAAAACTAAACTGAAGCATTCTCAGAAACTGCTTTGTGATGTTTGTGTTCGAGCCACAGAGTTTAACATTGCTTTTCATAGAGCAGTTTTGAAATATTCTTTTGGCAGAATCTACAAGTGGACATTTGGAGCGCTTTCAGGCCTGTGGTGGAAAAGGCCTGAAAGCCTTTTCCTTTATCTTCACAGAAAGACGAGAGAGAAGCATTGTCAGAAACTTCTTTGTGATGATTGCATTCAACTCACAGAGTTGAAGATTCCTTTTGAAACAGCAGTTTCGAAACACTCTTTCTGTGGGATCCGCAAGGGGATATTTGGACCTCTTTGAAGGTTTCGTTGGAAACGGGATAATCTTCACCTAAAAGCTAAACGGAAACATTCTCAGAAACTTCTTTGGGATGTTTGCATTCACCTCACAGAGTTGAACTTTCCCTTTGATAGCGCAGCTTTGACACACTTTTTCTACAATGTGCAAGTGGCTATTTAGCGGGCTTGGAGGACTGTGTTGGAAAACGAAATATCTTCTCCTAAAAACGACATAGAAGCATTCTCAGAAACTGCTCTGTGATGATTGCATTCAACTCCCAGAGTTGAACATTCCTTTTGATAGAGCAGTTTGCAAACACTCTTTTTGTAGAATCTGCAAGTGGAGATTTGGACCGCTTTGAGGCCTGTGGTAGTGAAGGAAAGAACTTCATATAAAAACCAGACGGTAGCACTCTCAGTAAAATTCTTTGTGACGATAGAGTTTAACTCAGAGAGCTGAACATTCGTTATGATGGAGCAGTTTCCAAACACACATTTTGTAGAATCTGCAAAGGGATATTTGGACCTCTCTGAGGATTTCGTTGGAAATGGGATCAACTTCCCATAACTGAACGGAAGCAAACTCAGAACATTCTTTGTGATGTTTGTATTCAACTCACAGAGTTGAACCTTCCTTTGATAGTTCAGGTTTGCAACACCCTTGTAGTAGAATCTGCAAGTGTATATTTTGACCACTTTGTAGCCTTCGTTTGAAACGTCTATATCTTCACATCAAACCTAGACAGAAGCATTCTCAGAAAGTTTTCTGCGATGACTGCATTCAACTCACAGAGTTGAACAATCCTTCTGATGGAGCAGTTTTGAAACCCTCTTTCTTTGGAATCTGCAAGGGGATATGTGGACCTCTTTGAAGATTTCACTGGAAACGGGATCATCTTCACATAAAAACTAAACAGAAGCATTCTCGGAAACTACTTTGTGATGTTTGTATTCAACTCCCAGAGTTGAACTTTCCTTTTGAAAGAGCAGCTATGAAACACTCTTTTTCGAGAATCTGCAAGTGGACGTTTGGAGGGCTTTGAGGCCTGTGGTGGAAAAGGAAATATCTTCACATAAAAACTAGATAGAAGCATTCTCAGAAACGACTTTGTGAGGATGGCATTCAACTCATGGAGTTGAACAATCCTATTGATAGAGCAGATTGGAATCACTCTTTTTGTAGAATCTGCAAATGGAGATTTGGACTGCTTTGAGGCCTCCGGTCGTATAGGAAGGAACTTCATATAAAAGGCAAACGGAAGCATTCTCAGAATATTCTTTGTGATGATGGAGTTTCACTCACAGAGCTGAACATGCCTTTTGATGGAGCAGTTTCCAAATACACTTTTGGTAGAATCTGCAGGTGGATATTTGGACCTCTCTGAGGATTTCGTTGGAAACGGGAATAATTTCCCATAACTAAACACAAACACTCTGAGAAAGTTCTTCATGATGAATGCATTTAACTCGCAGAGATGAACCTGCCTTTGAGAGTTCATGTTCGAAACACTCTTTCTGTAGAATCTGCAAGTGGATATTTGGACCACTGGCTGGCCTTCGTTCGAAACGGGTATATCTTCACGTAAAAACTAAAGAGAAGCATTCTCAGAAACTTCTGAGTGATGATTGCATTCAAGTCACACAGTTGAACCCTCCTTTTGATGGAGCAGTTTTGAAACTGTCTTTTTGTAGAATCTGTAAGTGGATACGTGGACCTCTTTGAAGATTTCTTTGGAAACGGGAATATTTCCACAGAAAAACTAAACTGAAGCATTCTCAGAAACTGCTTTGTGATGTTTGTGTTCGAGCCACAGAGTTTAACATTGCTTTTCATAGAGCAGTTTTGAAATATTCTTTTGGCAGAATCTGCAAGTGGACATTTGGAGCGCTTTCAGGCCTGTGGTGGAAAAGGCCTGAAAGCCTTTTCCTTTATCTTCACAGAAAGACGAGAGAGAAGCATTGTCAGAAACTTCTTTGTGATGATTGCATTCAACTCACAGAGTTGAAGATTCCTTTTGAAACAGCAGTTTCGAAACACTCTTTCTGTGGGATCCGCAAGGGGATATTTGGACCTCTTTGAAGGTTTCGTTGGAAACGGGATAATCTTCACCTAAAAGCTAAACGGAAGCATTCTCAGAAACTTCTTTGGGATGTTTGCATTCACCTCACAGAGTTGAACTTTCCCTTTGATAGCGCAGCTTTGACACACTTTTTCTACAATGTGCAAGTGGCTATTTAGCGGGCTTGGAGGACTGTGTTGGAAAAGGAAATATCTTCTCCTAAAAACGACATAGAAGGATTCTCAGAAACTGCTCTGTGATGATTGCATTCAACTCCCAGAGTTGAACATTCCTTTTGATAGAGCAGTTTGCAAACACTCTTTTTGTAGAATCTGCAAGTGGAGATTTGGACCGCTTTGAGGCCTGTGGTAGTGAAGGAAAGAACTTCATATAAAAACCAGACGGTAGCACTCTCAGAAAATTCTTTGTGACGATGGAGTTTAACTCAGGGAGCTGAACATTCGTTACGATGGAGCAGATTCCAAACACACGTTTTGTAGAATCTGCAAGGGGATATTTGGACCTCTCTGAGGATTTCGTTGGAAACGGGATCAACTTCCCATAACTGAACGGAAGCAAACTCAGAACATTCTTTGTGATGTTTGTATTCAACTCACAGAGTTGAACCTTCCTTTGATAGTTCAGGTTTGCAACACCCTTGTAGTAGAATCTGCAAGTGTATATTTTGACCACTTTGTAGCCTTCGTTTGAAACATCTATATCTTCACATCAAACCTAGACAGAAGCATTCTCAGAAAGTTTTCTGCGATGACTGCATTCAACTCACAGAGTTGAACAATCCTTCTGATGGAGCAGTTTTGAAACCCTCTTTCTTTGGAATCTGCAAGGGGATATGTGGACCTCTTTGAAGATTTCACTGGAAACGGGATCATCTTCACATAAAAACTAAACAGAAGCATTCTCGGAAACTACTTTGTGATGTTTGTATTCAACTCCCAGAGTTGAACTTTCCTTTTGAAAGAGCAGCTATGAAACACTCTTTTTCGAGAATCTGCAAGTGGACGTTTGGAGGGCTTTGAGGCCTGTGGTGGAAAAGGAAATATCTTCACATAAAAACTAGATAGAAGCATTCTCAGAAACGACTTTGTGAGGATGGCATTCAACTCATGGAGTTGAACAATCCTATTGATAGAGCAGATTGGAATCACTCTTTTTGTAGAATCTGCAAATGGAGATTTGGACTGCTTTGAGGCCTACGGTAGTACAGGAAGGAACTTCATATAAAAGGCAAACGGAAGCATTCTCAGAATATTCTTTGTGATGATGGAGTTTCACTGACAGAGCTGAACATGCCTTTTGATGGAGCAGTTTCCAAATACACTTTTGGTAGAATCTGCAGGTGGATATTTGGAGCTCTCTGAGGATTTCGTTGGAAACGGGAATAATTTCCCATAACTAAACACAAACACTCTGAGAAAGTTCTTCATGATGAATGCATTTAACTCGCAGAGATGAACCTGCCTTTGAGAGTTCAGGTTCGAAACACTCTTTCTGTATAATCTGCAAGTGGATATTTGGACCACTGGGTGGCCTTCGTTCGAAACGGGTATATGTTCACGTAAAAACTAAAGAGAAGCATTCTCAGAAACTTCTGAGTGATGATTGCATTCAAGTCACACAGTTGAACCCTCCTTTTGATGGAGCAGTTTTGAAACTGTCTTTTTGTAGAATCTGTAAGTGGATACGTGGACCTCTTTGAAGATTTCTTTGGAAACGGGAATATTTCCACAGAAAAACTAAACTGAAACATTCTCAGAAACCGCTTTGTGATGTTTGTGTTCCAGCCACAGAGTTTAACATTGCTTTTCATAGAGCAGTTTTGAAATATTCTTTTCGCAGAATCTGCAAGTGGACATTTGGAGCGCTTTCAGGCCTGTGGTGGAAAAGGCCTGAAAGCCTTTTCCTTTATCTTCACAGAAAGACGAGAGAGAAGCATTGTCAGAAACTTCTTTGTGATGATTGCATTCAACTCACAGAGTTGAAGATTCCTTTTGAAACAGCAGTTTCGAAACACTCTTTCTGTGGGATCCGCAAGGGGATATTTGGACCTCTTTGAAGGTTTCGTTGGAAACGGGATAATCTTCACCTAAAAGCTAAACGGAAGCATTCTCAGAAACTTCTTTGGGATGTTTGCATTCACCTCACAGAGTTGAACTTTCCCTTTGATAGCGCAGCTTTGACACACTTTTTCTACAATGTGCAAGTGGCTATTTAGCGGACTTGGAGGACAGTGTTGGAAAAGGAAATATCTTCTCCTAAAAACGACATAGAAGCATTCTCAGAAACTGCTCTGTGATGATTGCATTCAACTCCCAGAGTTGAACATTCCTTTTGATAGAGCAGTTTGCAAACACTCTTTTTGTAGAATCTGCAAGTGGAGATTTGGACCGCTTTGAGGCCTGTGGTAGTGAAGGAAAGAACTTCATATAAAAACCAGACGGTAGCACTCTCAGAAAATTCTTTGTGACGATGGAGTTTAACTCAGGGAGCTGAACATTCGTTATGATGGAGCAGTTTCCAAACACACGTTTTGTAGAATCTGCAAGGGGATATTTGGACCTCTCTGAGGATTTCGTTGGAAACGGGATCAACTTCCCATAACTGAACGGAAGCAAACTCAGAACATTCTTTGTGATGTTTGTATTCAACTCACAGAGTTGAACCTTCCTTTGATAGTTCAGGTTTGCAACACCCTTGTAGTAGAATCTGCAAGTGTATATTTTGACCACTTTGTAGCCTTCGTTTGAAACATCTATATCTTCACATCAAACCTAGACAGAAGCATTCTCAGAAAGTTTTCTGCGATGACTGCATTCAACTCACAGAGTTGAACAATCCTTTTGATGGAGCAGTTTTGAAACCCTCTTTCTTTGGAATCTGCAAGGGGATATGTGGACCTCTTTGAAGATTTCACTGGAAACGGGATCATCTTCACATAAAAACTAAACAGAAGCATTCTCGGAAACTACTTTGTGATGTTTGTATTCAACTCCCAGAGTTGAACTTTCCTTTTGAAAGAGCAGCTATGAAACACTCTTTTTCGAGAATCTGCAAGTGGACGTTTGGAGGGCTTTGAGGCCTGTGGTGGAAAAGGAAATATCTTCACATAAAAACTAGATAGAAGCATTCTCAGAAACTACTTTGTGAGGATGGCATTCAACTCATGGAGTTGAACAATCCTATTGATAGAGCAGATTGGAATCACTCTTTTTGTAGAATCTGCAAATGGAGATTTGGACTGCTTTGAGGCCTACGGTGGTACAGGAAGGAAGTTCATATAAAAGGCAAACGGAAGCATTCTCAGAATATTCTTTGTGATGATGGAGTTTCACTCACAGAGCTGAACATGCCTTTTGATGGAGCAGTTTCCAAATACACTTTTGGTAGAATCTACAGGTGGATATTTGGAGCTCTCTGAGGATTTCGTTGGAAACGGGAATAATTTCCCATAACTAAACACAAACAATCTGAGAAAGTTCTTCATGATGAATGCATTTAACTCGCAGAGATGGACCTGCCTTTGAGAGATCAGGTTCGAAACACTCTTTGTGTAGAATCTGCAAGTGGATATTTGGACCACTGGGTGGCCTTCGTTCGAAACGGGTATATGTTCACGTAAAAACTAAAGAGAAGCATTCTCAGAAACTTCTGAGTGATGATTGCATTCAAGTCACACAGTTGAACCCTCCTTTTGATGGAGCAGTTTTGAAACTGTCTTTTTGTAGAATCTGTAAGTGGATACGTGGACCTCTTTGAAGATTTCTTTGGAAACGGGAATATTTTCACAGAAAAACTAAACTGAAGCATTCTCAGAAACCGCTTTGTGATGTTTGTGTTCGAGCCACAGAGTTTAACATTGCTTTTCATAGAGCAGTTTTGAAATATTCTTTTGGCAGAATCTGCAAGTGGACATTTGGAGTGCTTTCAGGCCTGTGGTGGAAAAGGCCTGAAAGCCTTTTCCTTTATCTTCACAGAAAGACGAGAGAGAAGCATTGTCAGAAACTTCTTTGTGATGATTGCATTCAACTCACAGAGTTGAAGATTCCTTTTGAAACAGCAGTTTCGAAACACTCTTTCTGTGGGATCCGCAAGGGGATATTTGGACCTCTTTGAAGGTTTCTTTGGAAACGGGATAATCTTCACCTAAAAGCTAAACGGAAGCATTCTCAGAAACTTCTTTGGGATGTTTGCATTCACCTCACAGAGTTGAACTTTCCCTTTGATAGCGCAGCTTCGACACACTTTTTCTACAATGTGCAAGTGGATATTTAGCGGGCTTGGAGGACTGTGTTGGAAAAGGAAATATCTTCTCCTAAAAACGACATAGAAGCATTCTCAGAAACTGCTCTGTGATGATTGCATTCAACTCCCAGAGTTGAACATTCCTTTTGATAGAGCAGTTTGCAAACACTCTTTTTGTAGAATCTGCAAGTGGAGATTTGGACCGCTTTGAGGCCTGTGGTAGTGAAGGAAAGAACTTCATATAAAAACCAGACGGTAGCACTCTCAGAAAATTCTTTGTGACGATGGAGTTTAACTCAGGGAGCTGAACATTCGTTATGATGGAGCAGTTTCCAAACACACGTTTTGTAGAATCTGCGAGGGGATATTTGGACCTCTCTGAGGATTTCGTTGGAAACGGGATCAACTTCCCATAACTGAACGGAAGCAAACTCAGAACATTCTTTGTGATGTTTGTATTCAACTCACAGAGTTGAACCTTCCTTTGATAGTTCAGGTTTGCAACACCCTTGTAGTAGAATCTGCAAGTGTATATTTTGACCACTTTGTAGCCTTCGTTTGAAACGTCTATATCTTCACGTCAAACCTAGACAGAAGCATTCTCAGAAAGTTTTCTGCGATGACTGCATTCAACTCACAGAGTTGAACAATCCTTCTGATGGAGCAGTTTTGAAACCCTCTTTCTTTGGAATCTGCAAGGGGATATGTGGACCTCTTTGAAGATTTCACTGGAAACGGGATCATCTTCACATAAAAACTAAACAGAAGCATTCTCGGAAACTACTTTGTGATGTTTGTATTCAACTCCCAGAGTTGAACTTTCCTTTTGAAAGAGCAGCTATGAAACACTCTTTTTCGAGAATCTGAAAGTGGACGTTTGGAGGGCTTTGAGGCCTGTGGTGGAAAAGGAAATATCTTCACATAAAAACTAGATAGAAGCATTCTCAGAAACGACATTGTGAGGATGGCATTCAACTCATGGAGTTGAACAATCCTATTGATAGAGCAGATTGGAATCACTCTTTTTGTAGAATCTGCAAATGGAGATTTGGACTGCTTTGAGGCCTACGGTAGTATAGGAAGGAACTTCATATAAAAGGCAAACGGAAGCATTCTCAGAATATTCTTTGTGATGATGGAGTTTCACTCACAGAGCTGAACATGCCTTTTGATGGAGCAGTTTCCAAATACACTTTTGGTAGAATCTGCAGGTGGATATTTGGAGCTCTCTGAGGATTTCGTTGGAAACGGGAATAATTTCCCATAACTAAACACAAACACTCTGAGAAAGTTCTTCATGATGAATGCATTTAACTCGCAGAGATGAACCTGCCTTTGAGAGTTCAGGTTCGAAACACTCTTTCTGTAGAATCTGCGAGTGGATATTTGGACCACTGGGTGGCCTTCGTTCGAAACGGGTATATGTTCACGTAAAAACTAAAGAGAAGCATTCTCAGAAACTTCTGAGTGATGATTGCATTCAAGTCACACAGTTGAACCCTCCTTTTGATGGAGCAGTTTTGAAACTGTCTTTTTGTAGAATCTGTAAGTGGATACGTGGACCCCCTTTGAAGATTTCTTTGGAAACGGGAATATTTCCACAGAAAAACTAAACTGAAGCATTCTCAGAAACTGCTTTGTGATGTTTGTGTTCGAGCCACAGTAGTTTAACATTGCTTTTCATAGAGCAGTTTTGAAATATTCTTTTGGCAGAATCTGCAAGTGGACATTTGGAGCGCTTTCAGGCCTGTGGTGGAAAAGGCCTGAAAGCCTTTTCCTTTATCTTCACAGAAAGACGAGAGAGAAGCATTGTCAGAAACTTCTTTGTGATGATTGCATTCAACTCACAGAGTTGAAGATTCCTTTTGAAACAGCAGTTTCGAAACACTCTTTCTGTGGGATCCGCAAGGGGATATTTGGACCTCTTTGAAGGTTTCGTTGGAAACGGGATAATCTTCACCTAAAAGCTAAACGGAAGCATTCTCAGAAACTTCTTTGGGATGTTTGCATTCACCTCACAGAGTTGAACTTTCCCTTTGATAGCGCAGCTTTGACACACTTTTTCTACAATGTGCAAGTGGCTATTTAGCGGGCTTGGAGGACTGTGTTGGAAAAGGAAATATCTTCTCCTAAAAACGACATAGAAGCATTCTCAGAAACTGCTCTGTGATGATTGCATTCAACTCCCAGAGTTGAACATTCCTTTTGATAGAGCAGTTTGCAAACACTCCTTTTGTAGAATCTGCAAGTGGAGATTTGGACCGCTTTGAGGCCTGTGGTAGTGAAGGAAAGAACTTCATATAAAAACCAGACGGTAGCACTCTCAGAAAATTCTTTGTGACGATGGAGTTTAACTCAGGGAGCTGAACATTCGTTATGATGGAGCAGTTTCCAAACACACGTTTTGTAGAATCTGCAAGGGGATATTTGGACCTCTCTGAGGATTTCGTTGGAAACGGGATCAACTTCCCATAACTGAACGGAAGCAAACTCAGAACATTCTTTGTGATGTTTGTATTCAACTCACAGAGTTGAACCTTCCTTTGATAGTTCAGGTTTGCAACACCCTTGTAGTAGAATCTGCAAGTGTATATTTTGACCACTTTGTAGCCTTCGTTTGAAACGTCTATATCTTCACATCAAACCTAGACAGAAGCATTCTCAGAAAGTTTTCTGCGATGACTGCATTCAACTCACAGAGTTGAACAATCCTTCTGATGGAGCAGTTTTGAAACCCTCTTTCTTTGGAATCTGCAAGGGGATATGTGGACCTCTTTGAAGATTTCACTGGAAACGGGATCATCTTCACATAAAAACTAAACAGAAGCATTCTCGGAAACTACTTTGTGATGTTTGTATTCAACTCCCAGAGTTGAACTTTCCTTTTGAAAGAGCAGCTATGAAACACTCTTTTTCGAGAATCTGCAAGTGGACGTTTGGAGGGCTTTGAGGCCTGTGGTGGAAAAGGAAATATCTTCACATAAAAACTAGATAGAAAGCATTCTCAGAAACGACTTTGTGAGGATGGCATTCAACTCATGGAGTTGAACAATCCTATTGATAGAGCAGATTGGAATCACTCTTTTTGTAGAATCTGCAAATGGAGATTTGGACTGCTTTGAGGCCTACGGTCGTATAGGAAGGAACTTCAGATAAAAGGCAAACGGAAGCATTCTCAGAATATTCTTTGTGATGATGGAGTTTCACTCACAGAGCTGAACATGCCTTTTGATGGAGCAGTTTCCAAATACACTTTTGGTAGAATCTGCAGGTGGATATTTGGAGCTCTTTGAGGATTTCGTTGGAAACGGGAATAATTTCCCATAACTAAACACAAACACGCTGAGAAAGTTCTTCATGATGAATGCATTTAACTCGCAGTGATGAACCTGCCTTTGAGAGTTCAGGTTCGAAACACTCTTTCTGTAGAATCTGCAAGTGGATATTTGGACCACTGGGTGGCCTTCGTTCGAAACGGGTATATGTTCACGTAAAAACTAAAGAGAAGCATTCTCAGAAACTTCTGAGTGATGATTGCATTCAAGTCACACAGTTGAACCCTCGTTTTGATGGAGCAGTTTTGAAACTGTCTTTTTGTAGAATCTGTAAGTGGATACGTGGACCTCTTTGAAGATTTCTTTGGAAACGGGAATATTTCCACAGAAAAACTAAACTGAAGCATTCTCAGAAACCGCTTTGTGATGTTTGTGTTTGAGCCGCAGAGTTTAACATTGCTTTTCATAGAGCAGTTTTGAAATATTCTTTTGGCAGAATCTGCAAGTGGACATTTGGAGCGCTTTCAGGCCTGTGGTGGAAAAGGCCTGAAAGCCTTTTCCTTTATCTTCACAGAAAGACGAGAGAGAAGCATTGTCAGAAACTTCTTTGTGATGATTGCATTCAACTCACAGAGTTGAAGATTCCTTTTGAAACAGCAGTTTCGAAACACTCTTTCTGTGGGATCCGCAAGGGGATATTTGGACCTCTTTGAAGGTTTCGTTGGAAACGGGATAATCTTCACCTAAAAGCTAAACGGAAGCATTCTCAGAAACTTCTTTGGGATGTTTGCATTCACCTCACAGAGTTGAACTTTCCCTTTGATAGCGCAGCTTTGACACACTTTTTCTACAATGTGCAAGTGGCTATTTAGCGGGCTTGGAGGACTGTGTTGGAAAAGGAAATATCTTCTCCTAAAAACGACATAGAAGCATTCTCAGAAACTGCTCTGTGATGATTGCATTCAACTCCCAGAGTTGAACATTCCTTTTGATAGAGCAGTTTGCAAACACTCTTTTTGTAGAATCTGCAAGTGGAGATTTGGACCGCTTTGAGGCCTGTGGTAGAGAAGGAAAGAACTTCATATAAAAACCAGACGGTAGCAAACTCAGAACATTCTTTGTGATGTTTGTATTCAACTCACAGAGTTGAACCTTCCTTTGATAGTTCAGGTTTGCAACACCCTTGTAGTAGAATCTGCAAGTGTATATTTTGACCACTTTGTAGCCTTCGTTTGAAACGTCTATATCTTCACATCAAACCTAGACAGAAGCATTCTCAGAAAGTTTTCTGCGATGACTGCATTCAACTCACAGAGTTGAACAATCCTTCTGATGGAGCAGTTTTGAAACCCTCTTTCTTTGGAATCTGCAAGGGGATATGTGGACCTCTTTGAAGATTTCACTGGAAACGGGATCATCTTCACATAAAAACTAAACAGAAGCATTCTCAGAAACTACTTTGTGATGATTGTATTCAACTCCCAGAGTTGAACTTTCCTTTTGAAAGAGCAGCTATGAAACACTCTTTTTCGAGAATCTGCAAGTGGACGTTTGGAGGGCTTTGAGGCCTGTGGTGGAAAAGGAAATATCTTCACATAAAAACTAGATAGAAGCATTCTCAGAAACGACTTTGTGAGGATGGCATTCAACTCATGGAGTTGAACAATCCTATTGATAGAGCAGATTGGAATCACTCTTTTTGTAGAATCTGCAAATGGAGATTTGGACTGCTTTGAGGCCTACGGTAGTATAGGAAGGAACTTCATATAAAAGGCAAACGGAAGCATTCTCAGAATATTCTTTGTGATGATGGAGTTTCACTCACAGAGCTGAACATGCCTTTTGATGGAGCAGTTTCCAAATACACTTTTGGTAGAATCTGCAGGTGGATATTTGGAGCTCTCTGAGGATTTCGTTGGAAACGGGAATAATTTCCCATAACTAAACACAAACACTCTGAGAAAGTTCTTCATGATGAATGCATTTAACTAACAGAGATGAACCTGCCTTTGAGAGTTCAGGTTCGAAACACTCTTTCTGTAGAATCTGCAAGTGGATATTTGGACCACTGGGTGGCCTTCGTTCGAAACGGGTATATGTTCACATAAAAACTAAAAAGAAGCATTCTCAGAAACTTCTGAGTGATGATTGCATTCAAGTCACACGGTTGAACTCTCCTTTTGATTGAGCAGTTTTGAAACTGTCTTTTTGTAGAATCTGTAAGTGGATACGTGGAACTCCTTGAAGATTTCTTTGGAAACGGGAATATTTCCACAGAAAAACTAAACTGAAGCATTCTCAGAAACTGCTTTGTGATGTTTGTGTTCGAGCCACAGAGTTTAACATTGCTTCTCATAGAGCAGTTTTGAAATATTCTTTTCGCAGAATCTGCAAGTGGACATTTGGAGCGCTTTCAGGCCTGTGGTGGAAAAGGCCTGAAAGCCTTTTCCTTTATCTTCACAGAAAGACGAGAGAGAAGCATTGTCAGAAACTTCTTTGTGATGATTGCATTCAACTCACAGAGTTGAAGATTCCTTTTGAAACAGCAGTTTCGAAACACTCTTTCTGTGGGATCCGCAAGGGGATATTTGGACCTCTTTGAAGATTTCGTTGGAAACGGGATAATCTTCACCTAAAAGCTAAACGGAAGCATTCTCAGAAACTTCTTTGGGATGTTTGCATTCACCTCACAGAGTTGAACTTTCCCTTTGATAGCGCAGCTTCGACACACTTTTTCTACAATGTGCAAGTGGATATTTAGCGGGCTTGGAGGACTGTGGTGGAAAGGGAAATATCTTCTCCTAAAAACCACATAGAAGCATTCTCAGAAACTGCTCTGTGATGATTGCATTCAACTCCCAGAGTTGAACATTCCTTTTGATAGAGCAGTTTGCAAACACTCTTTTTGTAGAATCTGCAAGTGGAGATTTGGACCGCTTTGAGGCCTGTGGTAGTAAAGGAAAGAACTTCATATAAAAACTAGACGGTAGCACTCTCAGAAAATTCTTTGTGACGATGGAGTTTAACTCAGAGAGCTGAACATTCGTTATGATGGAGCAGTTTCCAAACACACGTTTTGTAGAATCTGCAAGGGGATATTTGGACCTCTCTGAGGATTTCGTTGGAAACGGGATCAACTTCCCATAACTGAACGGAAGCAAACTCAGAACATTCTTTGTGATGTTTGTATTCAACTCACAGAGTTGAACCTTCCTTTGATAGTTCAGGTTTGCATCACCCTTGTAGTAGAATCTGCAAGTGTATATTTTGACCACTTTGTAGCCTTCGTTTGAAACGTCTATATCTTCACATCAAACCTAGACAGAAGCATTCTCAGAAAGTTTTCTGCGATGACTGCATTCAACTCAGAGAGTTGAACAATCCTTTTGATGGAGCAGTTTTGAAACCCTCTTTCTTTGGAATCTGCAAGGGCATATGTGGACCTCTTTGAAGGTTTCACTGGAAACGGGATCATCTTCACATAAGAACTAAACAGAAGCATTCTCGGAAACTACTTTGTGATGTTTGTATTCACCTCCCAGAGTTGAACTTTCCTTTTGAAAGAGCAGCTATGAAACACTCTTTTTCGAGAATCTGCAAGTGGACGTTTGGAGGGCTTTGAGGCCTGTGGTGGAAAAGGAAATATCTTCACATAAAAACTAGATAGAAGCATTCTCAGAAACTACTTTATGAGGATGGCATTCGACTCATGGAGTTGAACAATCCTATTGATAGAGCAGATTGGAATCACTCTTTTTGTAGAATCTGCAAATGGAGATTTGGACTGCTTTGAGGCCTACGGTAGTATAGGAAGGAACTTCATATAAAAGGCAAACGGAAGCATTCTCAGAATATTCTTTGTGATGATGGAGTTTCACTCACAGAGCTGAACATGCCTTTTGATGGAGCAGTTTCCAAATACACTTTTGGTAGAATCTGAAGGTGGATATTTGGACCTCTCTGAGGATTTCGTTGGAAACGGGAATAATTTCCCATAACTAAACACAAACACGCTGAGAAAGTTCTTCATGATGAATGCATTTAACTCGCAGAGATGAACCTGCCTTTGAGAGTTCAGGTTCGAAACACTCTTTCTGTAGAATCTGCAAGTGGATATTTGGACCACTGGCTGGCCTTCGTTCGAAACGGGTATATGTTCACGTAAAAACTAAAGAGAAGCGTTCTCAGAAACATCTGAGTGATGATTGCATTCAAGTCACACAGTTGAACCCTCCTTTTGATTGAGCAGTTTTGAAACTGTCTTTTTGTAGAATCTGTAAGTGGATACGTGGACCTCTTTGAAGATTTCTTTGGAAACGGGAATATTTCCACAGAAAAACTAAACTGAAGCATTCTCAGAAACCGCTTTGTGATGTTTGTGTTCCAGCCACAGAGTTTAACATTGCTTTTCATAGAGCAGTTTTGAAATATTCTTTTCGCAGAATCTGCAAGTGGACATTTGGAGCGCTTTCAGGCCTGTGGTGGAAAAGGCCTGAAAGCCTTTTCCTTTATCTTCACAGAAACACGAGAGAGAAGCATTGTCAGAAACTTCTTTGTGATGATTGCATTCAACTCACAGAGTTGAAGATTCCTTTTGAAACAGCAGTTTCGAAACACTCTTTCTGTGGGATCCGCAAGGGGATATTTGGACCTCTTTGAAGGTTTCGTTGGAAACGGGATAATCTTCACCTAAAAGCTAAACGGAAGCATTCTCAGAAACTTCTTTGGGATGTTTGCATTCACCTCACAGAGTTGAACTTTCCCTTTGATAGCGCAGCTTTGACACACTTTTTCTACAATGTGCAAGTGGCTATTTAGCGGGCTTGGAGGACTGTGTTGGAAAAGGAAATATCTTCTCCTAAAAACGACATAGAAGCATTCTCAGAAACTGCTCTGTGATGATTGCATTCAACTCCCAGAGTTGAACATTCCTTTTGATAGAGCAGTTTGCAAACACTCTTTTTGTAGAATCTGCAAGTGGAGATTTGGACTGCTTTGAGGCCTGTGGTAGTGAAGGAAAGAACTTCATATAAAAACCAGACGGTAGCACTCTCAGAAAATTCTTTGTGACGATGGAGTTTAACTCAGGGAGCTGAACATTCGTTATGATGGAGCAGTTTCCAAACACACGTTTTGTAGAATCTGCAAGGGGATATTTGGACCTCTCTGAGGATTTCGTTGGAAACGGGATCAACTTCCCATAACTGAACGGAAGCAAACTCAGAACATTCTTTGTGATGTTTGTATTCAACTCACAGAGTTGAACCTTCCTTTGATAGTTCAGGTTTGCAACACCCTTGTAGTAGAATCTGCAAGTGTATATTTTGACCACTTTGTAGCCTTCGTTTGAAACGTCTATATCTTCACATCAAACCTAGACAGAAGCATTCTCAGAAAGTTTTCTGCGATGACTGCATTCAACTCACAGAGTTGAACAATCCTTCTGATGGAGCAGTTTTGAAACCCTCTTTCTTTGGAATCTGCAAGGGGATATGTGGACCTCTTTGAAGATTTCACTGGAAACGGGATCATCTTCACATAAAAACTAAACAGAAGCATTCTCGGAAACTACTTTGTGATGTTTGTATTCAACTCCCAGAGTTGAACTTTCCTTTTGAAAGAGCAGCTATGAAACACTCTTTTTCGAGAATCTGCAAGTGGACGTTTGGAGGGCTTTGAGGCCTGTGGTGGAAAAGGAAATATCTTCACATAAAAACTAGATAGAAGCATTCTCACAAACGACATTGTGAGGATGGAATTCAACTCATGGAGTTGAACAATCCTATTGATAGAGCAGATTGGAATCACTCTTTTTGTAGAATCTGCAAATGGAGATTTGGACTGCTTTGAGGCCTACGGTAGTATAGGAAGGAACTTCATATAAAAGGCAAACGGAAGCATTCTCAGAATATTCTTTGTGATGATGGAGTTTCACTCACAGAGCTGAACATGCCTTTTGATGGAGCAGTTTCCAAATACACTTTTGGTAGAATCTGCAGGTGGATATTTGGAGCTCTCTGAGGATTTCGTTGGAAACAGGAATAATTTCCCATAACTAAACACAAACACTCTGAGAAAGTTCTTCATGATGAATGCATTTAACTCGCAGAGATGAACCTGCCTTTGAGAGTTCAGGTTCGAAACACTCTTTCTGTAGAATCTGCAAGTGGATATTTGGACCACTGGGTGGCCTTCGTTCGAAACGGGTATATGTTCACATAAAAACTAAAAAGAAGCATTCTCAGAAACTTCTGAGTGATGATTGCATTCAAGTCACATAGTTGAACCCTCCTTTTGATGGAGTAGTTTTGAAACTGTCTTTTTGTAGAATCTGTAAGTGGATACGTGGACCTCTTTGAAGATTTCTTTGGAAACGGGAATATTTCCACAGAAAAACTAAACTGAAGCATTCTCAGAAACTGCTTTGTGATGTTTGTGTTCGAGCCACAGAGTTTAACATTGCTTTTCATAGAGCAGTTTTGAAATATTCTTTTCGCAGAATCTGCAAGTGGACATTTGGAGCGCTTTCAGGCCTGTGGTGGCAAAGGCCTGAAAGCCTTTTCCTTTATCTTCACAGAAAGACGAGAGAGAAGCATTGTCAGAAACTTCTTTGTGATGATTGCATTCAACTCACAGAGTTGAAGATTCCTTTTGAAACAGCTGTTTCGAAACACTCTTTCTGTGGGATCCGCAAGGGGATATTTGGACCTCTTTGAAGGTTTCGTTGGAAACGGGATAATCTTCACCTAAAAGCTAAACGGAAGCATTCTCAGAAACTTCTTTGGGATGTTTGCATTCACCTCACAGAGTTGAACTTTCCCTTTGATAGCGCAGCTTTGACACACTTTTTCTACAATGTGCAAGTGGCTATTTAGCGGGCTTGGAGGACTGTGTTGGAAAAGGAAATATCTTCTCCTAAAAACGACATAGAAGCATTCTCAGAAACTGCTCTGTGATGATTGCATTCAACTCCCAGAGTTGAACATTCCTTTTGATAGAGCAGTTTGCAAACACTCTTTTTGTAGAATCTGCAAGTGGAGATTTGGACCGCTTTGAGGCCTGTGGTAGTGAAGGAAAGAACTTCATATAAAAACCAGACGGTAGCACTCTCAGAAAATTCTTTGTGACGATGGAGTTTAACTCAGGGAGCTGAACATTCGTTATGATGGAGCAGTTTCCAAACACACGTTTTGTAGAATCTGCAAGGGGATATTTGGACCTCTCTGAGGATTTCGTTGGAAACGGGATCAACTTCCCATAACTGAACGGAAGCAAACTCAGAACATTCTTTGTGATGTTTGTATTCAACTCACAGAGTTGAACCTTCCTTTGATAGTTCAGGTTTGCAACACCCTTGTAGTAGAATCTGCAAGTGTATATTTTGACCACTTTGTAGCCTTCGTTTGAAACGTCTATATCTTCACATCAAACCTAGACAGAAGCATTCTCAGAAAGTTTTCTGCGATGACTGCATTCAACTCACAGAGTTGAACAATCCTTCTGATGGAGCAGTTTTGAAACCCTCTTTCTTTGGAATCTGCAAGGGGATATGTGGACCTCTTTGAAGATTTCACTGGAAACGGGATCATCTTCACATAAAAACTAAACAGAAGCATTCTCGGAAACTACTTTGTGATGTTTGTATTCAACTCCCAGAGTTGAACTTTCCTTTTGAAAGAGCAGCTATGAAACACTCTTTTTCGAGAATCTGCAAGTGGACGTTTGGAGGGCTTTGAGGCCTGTGGTGGAAAAGGAAATATCTTCACATAAAAACTAGATAGAAGCATTCTCAGAAACGACTTTGTGAGGATGGCATTCAACTCATGGAGTTGAACAGTCCTATTGATAGAGCAGATTGGAATCACTCTTTTTGTAGAATCTGCAAATGGAGATTTGGACTGCTTTGAGGCCTACGGTCGTATAGGAAGGAACTTCATATAAAAGGCAAACGGAAGCATTCTCAGAATATTCTTTGTGATGATGTAGTTTCACTCACAGAGCTGAACATGCCTTTTGATGGAGCAGTTTCCAAATACACTTTTGGTAGAATCTGCAGGTGGATATTTGGAGCTCTCTGAGGATTTCGTTGGAAACGGGAATAATTTCCCATAACTAAACACAAACACTCTGAGAAAGTTCTTCATGATGAATGCATTTAACTCGCAGAGATGAACCTGCCTTTGAGAGTTCAGGTTCGAAACACTCTTTCTGTAGAATCTGCAAGTGGATATTTGGACCACTGGGTGGCCTTCGTTCGAAACGGGTATATGTTCACGTAAAAACTAAAGAGAAGCATTCTCAGAAACTTCTGAGTGATGATTGCATTCAAGTCACACAGTTGAACCCTCCTTTTGATGGAGCAGTTTTGAAACTGTCTTTTTGTAGAATCTGTAAGTGGATACGTGGACCTCTTTGAAGATTTCTTTGGAAACGGGAATATTTCCACAGAAAAACTAAACTGAAGCATTCTCAGAAACCGCTTTGTGATGTTTGTGTTCGAGCCACAGAGTTTAACATTGCTTTTCATAGAGCAGTTTTTAAATATTCTTTTGGCAGAATCTGCAAGTGGACATTTGGAGCGCTTTCAGGCCTGTGGTGGAAAAGGCCTGAAAGCCTTTTCCTTTATCTTCACAGAAAGACGAGAGAGAAGCATTGTCAGAAACTTCTTTGTGATGATTGCATTCAACTCACAGAGTTGAAGATTCCTTTTGAAACAGCAGTTTCGAAACACTCTTTCTGTGGGATCCGCAAGGGGATATTTGGACCTCTTTGAAGGTTTCGTTGGAAACGGGATAATCTTCACCTAAAAGCTAAACGGAAGCATTCTCAGAAACTTCTTTGGGATGTTTGCATTCACCTCACAGAGTTGAACTTTCCCTTTGATAGCGCAGCTTTGACACACTTTTTCTACAATGTGCAAGTGGCTATTTAGCGGGCTTGGAGGACTGTGTTGGAAAAGGAAATATCTTCTCCTAAAAACGACATAGAAGCATTCTCAGAAACTGCTCTGTGATGATTGCATTCAACTCCCAGAGTTGAACATTCCTTTTGATAGAGCAGTTTGCAAACACTCTTTTTGTAGAATCTGCAAGTGGAGATTTGGACCGCTTTGAGGCCTGTGGTAGTGAAGGAAAGAACTTCATATAAAAACCAGACGGTAGCACTCTCAGAAAATTCTTTGTGACGATGGAGTTTAACTCACGGAGCTGAACATTCGTTATGATGGAGCAGTTTCCAAACACACGTTTTGTAGAATCTGTGAGGGGATATTTGGACCTCTCTGAGGATTTCGTTGGAAACGGGATCAACTTCCCATAACTGAACGGAAGCAAACTCAGAACATTCTTTGTGATGTTTGTATTCAACTCACAGAGTTGAACCTTCCTTTGATAGTTCAGGTTTGCAACACCCTTGTAGTAGAATCTGCAAGTGTATATTTTGACCACTTTGTAGCCTTCGTTTGAAACGTCTATATCTTCACATCAAACCTAGACAGAAGCATTCTCAGAAAGTTTTCTGCGATGACTGCATTCAACTCACAGAGTTGAACAATCCTTCTGATGGAGCAGTTTTGAAACCCTCTTTCTTTGGAATCTGCAAGGGGATATGTGGACCTCTTTGAAGATTTCACTGGAAACGGGATCATCTTCACATAAAAACTAAACAGAAGCATTCTCGGAAACTATTTTGTGATGTTTGTATTCAACTCCCAGAATTGAACTTTCCTTTTGAAAGAGCAGCTATGAAACACTCTTTTTCGAGAATCTGCAAGTGGACGTTTGGAGGGCTTTGAGGCCTGTGGTGGAAAAGGAAATATCTTCACACAAAAACCAGATAGAAGCATTCTCAGAAACTACTTTGTGAGGATGGCATTCAACTCATGGAGTTGAACAATCCTATTGATAGAGCAGATTGGAATCACTCTTTTTGTAGAATCTGCAAATGGAGATTTGGACTGCTTTGAGGCCTACGGTAGTACAGGAAGGAACTTCATATAAAAGGCAAACGGAAGCATTCTCAGAATATTCTTTGTGATGATGGAGTTTCACTCACAGAGCTGAACATGCCTTTTGATGGAGCAGTTTCCAAATACACTTTTGGTAGAATCTGCAGGTGGATATTTGGAGCTCTCTGAGGATTTCGTTGGAAACGGGAATAATTTCCCATAACTAAACACAAACACTCTGAGAAAGTTCTTCATGATGAATGCATTTAACTCGCAGAGATGAACCTGCCTTTGAGAGTTCAGGTTCGAAACACTCTTTCTGTATAATCTGCAAGTGGATATTTGGACCACTGGGTGGCCTTCGTTCGAAACGGGTATATGTTCACGTAAAAACTAAAGAGAAGCATTCTCAGAAACTTCTGAGTGATGATTGCATTCAAGTCACACGGTTGAACCCTCCTTTTGATGGAGCAGTTTTGAAACTGTCTTTTTGTAGAATCTGTAAGTGGATGCGTGGACCTCTTTGAAGATTTCTTTGGAAACGGGAATATTTCCACAGAAAAACTAAACTGAAGCATTCTCAGAAACCGCTTTGTGATGTTTGTGTTCGAGCCGCAGAGTTTAACATTGCTTTTCATAGAGCAGTTTTGAAATATTCTTTTCGCAGAATCTGCAAGTGGACATTTGGAGCGCTTTCAGGCCTGTGGTGGAAAAGGCCTGAAAGCCTTTTCCTTTATCTTCACAGAAAGACGAGAGAGAAGCATTGTCAGAAACTTCTTTGTGATGATTGCATTCAACTCACAGAGTTGAAGATTCCTTTTGAAACAGCAGTTTTGAAACACTCTTTCTGTGGGATCCGCAAGGGGATATTTGGACCTCTTTGAAGGTTTCGTTGGAAACGGGATAATCTTCACCTAAAAGCTAAACGGAAGCATTCTCAGAAACTTCTTTGGGATGTTTGCATTCACCTCACAGAGTTGAACTTTCCCTTTGATAGCGCAGCTTTGACACACTTTTTCTACAATGTGCAAGTGGCTATTTAGCGGGCTTGGAGGACTGTGTTGGAAAAGGAAATATCTTCTCCTAAAAACGACATAGAAGCATTCTCAGAAACTGCTCTGTGATGATTGCATTCAACTCCCAGAGTTGAACATTCCTTTTGATAGAGCAGTTTGCAAACACTCTTTTTGTAGAATCTGCAAGTGGAGATTTGGACCGCTTTGAGGCCTGTGGTAGTGAAGGAAAGAACTTCATATAAAAACCAGACGGTAGCACTCTCAGAAAATTCTTTGTGACGATGGAGTTTAACTCAGGGAGCTGAACATTCGTTATGATGGAGCAGTTTCCAAACACACGTTTTGTAGAATCTGCAAGGGGATATTTGGACCTCTCTGAGGATTTCGTTGGAAACGGGATCAACTTCCCATAACTGAACGGAAGCAAACTCAGAACATTCTTTGTGATGTTTGTATTCAACTCACAGAGTTGAACCTTCCTTTGATAGTTCAGGTTTGCAACACCCTTGTAGTAGAATCTGCAAGTGTATATTTTGACCACTTTGTAGCCTTCGTTTGAAACGTCTATACCTTCACATCAAACCTAGACAGAAGCATTCTCAGAAAGTTTTCTGCGATGACTGCATTCAACTCACAGAGTTGAACAATCCTTCTGATGGAGCAGTTTTGAAACCCTCTTTCTTTGGAATCTGCAAGGGGATATGTGGACCTCTTTGAAGATTTCACTGGAAACGGGATCATCTTCACATAAAAACTAAACAGAAGCATTCTCGGAAACTACTTTGTGATGTTTGTATTCAACTCCCAGAGTTGAACTTTCCTTTTGAAAGAGCAGCTATGAAACACTCTTTTTCGAGAATCTGCAAGTGGACGTTTGGAGGGCTTTGAGGCCTGTGGTGGAAAAGGAAATATCTTCACATAAAAACTAGATAGAAGCATTCTCAGAAACTACTTTGTGAGGATGGCATTCAACTCATGGAGTTGAACAATCCTATTGATAGAGCAGATTGGAATCACTCTTTTTGTAGAATCTGCAAATGGAGATTTGGACTGCTTTGAGGCCTACGGTCGTATAGGAAGGAACTTCATATAAAAGGCAAACGGAAGCATTCTCAGAATATTCTTTGTGATGATGGAGTTTCACTCACAGAGCTGAACATGCCTTTTGATGGAGCAGTTTCCAAATACACTTTTGGTAGAATCTGCAGGTGGATATTTGGAGCTCTCTGAGGATTTCTTTGGAAACGGGAATAATTTCCCATAACTAAACACAAACACTCTGAGAAAGTTCTTCATGATGAATGCATTTAACTCGCAGAGATGAACCTGCCTTTGAGAGTTCAGGTTCGAAACACTCTTTCTGTAGAATCTGCAAGTGGATATTTGGACCACTGGGTGGCCTTCGTTCGAAACGGGTATATGTTCACGTAAAAACTAAAGAGAAGCATTCTCAGAAACTTCTGAGTGATGATTGCATTCAAGTCACACAGTTGAACCCTCCTATTGATGGAGCAGTTTTGAAACTGTCTTTTTGTAGAATCTGTAAGTGGATACGTGGACCTCTTTGAAGATTTCTTTGGAAACGGGAATATTTCCACAGAAAAACTAAACTGAAGCATTCTCAGAAACCGCTTTGTGATGTTTGTGTTCGAGCCACAGAGTTTAACATTGCTTTTCATAGAGCAGTTTTGAAATATTCTTTTCGCAGAATCTGCAAGTGGACATTTGGAGCGCTTTCAGGCCTGTGGTGGCAAAGGCCTGAAAGCCTTTTCCTTTATCTTCACAGAAAGACGAGAGAGAAGCATTGTCAGAAACTTCTTTGTGATGATTGCATTCAACTCACAGAGTTGAAGATTCCTTTTGAAACAGCAGTTTCGAAACACTCTTTCTGTGGGATCCGCAAGGGGATATTTGGACCTCTTTGAAGGTTTCGTTGGAAACGGGATAATCTTCACCTAAAAGCTAAACGGAAGCATTCTCAGAAACTTCTTTGGGATGTTTGCATTCACCTCACAGAGTTGAACTTTCCCTTTGATAGCGCAGCTTTGACACACTTTTTCTACAATGTGCAAGTGGCTATTTAGCGGGCTTGGGGGACTGTGTTGGAAAAGGAAATATCTTCTCCTAAAAACGACATAGAAGCATTCTCAGAAACTGCTCTGTGATGATTGCATTCAACTCCCAGAGTTGAACATTCCTTTTGATAGAGCAGTTTGCAAACACTCTTTTTGTAGAATCTGCAAGTGGAGATTTGGACCGCTTTGAGGCCTGTGGTAGTGAAGGAAAGAACTTCATATAAAAACCAGACGGTAGCACTCTCAGAAAATTCTTTGTGACGATGGAGTTTAACTCAGGGAGCTGAACATTCGTTATGATGGAGCAGTTTCCAAACACACGTTTTGTAGAATCTGCAAGGGGATATTTGGACCTCTCTGAGGATTTCGTTGGAAACGGGATCAACTTCCCATAACTGAACGGAAGCAAACTCAGAACATTCTTTGTGATGTTTGTATTCAACTCACAGAGTTGAACCTTCCTTTGATAGTTCAGGTTTGCAACACCCTTGTAGTAGAATCTGCAAGTGTATATTTTGACCACTTTGTAGCCTTCGTTTGAAAGGTCTATATCTTCACATCAAACCTAGACAGAAGCATTCTCAGAAAGTTTTCTGCGATGACTGCATTCAACTCACAGAGTTGAACAATCCTTTTGATGGAGCAGTTTTGAAACCCTCTTTCTTTGGAATCTGCAAGGGGATATGTGGGACCTCTTTGAAGATTTCACTGGAAACGGGATCATCTTCACATAAAAACTAAACAGAAGCATTCTCGGAAACTACTTTGTGATGTTTGTATTCAACTCCCAGAGTTGAACTTTCCTTTTGAAAGAGCAGCTATGAAACACTCTTTTTCGAGAATCTGCAAGTGGACGTTTGGAGGGCTTTGAGGCCTGTGGTGGAAAAGGAAATATCTTCACATAAAAACTAGATAGAAGCATTCTCAGAACCGACTTTGTGAGGATGGCATTCAACTCATGGAGTTGAACAATCCTATTGATAGAGCAGATTGGAATCACTCTTTTTGTAGAATCTGCAAATGGAGATTTGGACTGCTTTGAGGCCTACGGTCGTATAGGAAGGAACTTCATATAAAAGGCAAACGGAAGCATTCTCAGAATATTCTTTGTGATGATGGAGTTTCACTCACAGAGCTGAACATGCCTTTTGATGGAGCAGTTTCCAAATACACTTTTGGTAGAATCTGCAGGTGGATATTTGGACCTCTCTGAGGATTTCGTTGGAAACGGGAATAATTTCCCATAACTAAACACAAACACTCTGAGAAAGTTCTTCATGATGAATGCATTTAACTCGCAGAGATGAACCTGCCTTTGAGAGTTCAGGTTCGAAACACTCTTTCTGTAGAATCTGCAAGTGGATATTTGGACCACTGGCTGGCCTTCGTTCGAAACGGGTATATGTTCACGTAAAAACTAAAGAGAAGCATTCTCAGAAACTTCTGAGTGATGATTGCATTCAAGTCACACAGTTGAACCCTCCTTTTGATGGAGCAGTTTTGAAACTGTCTTTTTGTAGAATCTGTAAGTGGATACGTGGACCTCTTTGAAGATTTCTTTGGAAACGGGAATATTTCCACAGAAAAACTAAACTGAAGTATTCTCAGAAACCGCTTTGTGATGTTTGTGATCGAGCCACAGAGTTTAACATTGCTTTTCATAGAGCAGTTTTGAAATATTCTTTTGGCAGAATCTGCAAGTGGACATTTGGAGCGCTTTCAGGCCTGTGGTGGAAAAGGCCTGAAAGCCTTTTCCTTTATCTTCACAGAAAGACGAGAGAGAAGCATTGTCAGAAACTTCTTTGTGATGATTGCATTCAACTCACAGAGTTGAAGATTCCTTTTGAAACAGCAGTTTCGAAACACTCTTTCTGTGGGATCCGCAAGGGGATATTTGGACCTCTTTGAAGGTTTCGTTGGAAACGGGATAATCTTCACCTAAAAGCTAAACGGAAGCATTCTCAGAAACTTCTTTGGGATGTTTGCATTCACCTCACAGAGTTGAACTTTCCCTTTGATAGCGCAGCTTTGACACACTTTTTCTACAATGTGCAAGTGGCTATTTAGCGGGCTTGGAGGACTGTGTTGGAAAAGGAAATATCTTCTCCTAAAAACGACATAGAAGCATTCTCAGAAACTGCTCTGTGATGATTGCATTCAACTCCCAGAGTTGAACATTCCTTTTGATAGAGCAGTTTGCAAACACTCTTTTTGTAGAATCTGCAAGTGGAGATTTGGACCGCTTTGAGGCCTGTGGTAGTGAAGGAAAGAACTTCATATAAAAACCAGACGGTAGCACTCTCAGAAAATTCTTTGTGACGATGGAGTTTAACTCAGGGAGCTGAACATTCGTTATGATGGAGCAGTTTCCAAACACACGTTTTGTAGAATCTGCAAGGGGATATTTGGACCTCTCTGAGGATTTCGTTGGAAACGGGATCAACTTCCCATAACTGAACGGAAGCAAACTCAGAACATTCTTTGTGATGTTTGTATTCAACTCACAGAGTTGAACCTTCCTTTGATAGTTCAGGTTTGCAACACCCTTGTAGTAGAATCTGCAAGTGTATATTTTGACCACTTTGTAGCCTTCGTTTGAAACGTCTATATCTTCACATCAAACCTAGAAAGAAGCATTCTCAGAAAGTTTTCTGCGATGACTGCATTCAACTCACAGAGTTGAACAATCCTTCTGATGGAGCAGTTTTGAAACCCTCTTTCTTTGGAATCTGCAAGGGGATATGTGGACCTCTTTGAAGATTTCACTGGAAACGGGATCATCTTCACATAAAAACTAAACAGAAGCATTCTCGGAAACTACTTTGTGATGTTTGTATTCAACTGCCAGAGTTGAACTTTCCTTTTGAAAGAGCAGCTATGAAACACTCTTTTTCGAGAATCTGCAAGTGGACGTTTGGAGGGCTTTGAGGCCTGTGGTGGAAAAGGAAATATCTTCACATAAAAACTAGATAGAAGCATTCTCAGAAACGACTTTGGAGGATGGCATTCAACTCATGGAGTTGAACAATCCTATTGATAGAGCAGATTGGAATCACTCTTTTTGTAGAATCTGCAAATGGAGATTTGGACTGCTTTGAGGCCTACGGTCGTATAGGAAGGAACTTCAGATAAAAGGCAAACGGAAGCATTCTCAGAATATTCTTTGTGATGATGGAGTTTCACTCACAGAGCTGAACATGCCTTTTGATGGAGCAGTTTCCAAATACACTTTTGGTAGAATCTGCAGGTGGATATTTGGACCACTCTGAGGATTTCGTTGGAAACGGGAATAATTTCCCATAACTAAGCACAAACACTCTGAGAAAGTTCTTCATGATGAATGCATTTAACTCGCAGAGATGAACCTGCCTTTGAGAGTTCAGGTTCGAAACACTCTTTCTGTAGAATCTGCAAGTGGATATTTGGACCACTGGGTGGCCTTCGTTCGAAACGGGTATATGTTCACGTAAAAACTAAAGAGAAGCATTCTCAGAAACTTCTGAGTGATGATTGCATTCAAGTCACACAGTTGAACCCTCCTTTTGATGGAGCAGTTTTGAAACTGTCTTTTTGTAGAATCTGTAAGTGGATACGTGGACCTCTTTGAAGATTTCTTTGGAAACGGGAATATTTCCACAGAAAAACTAAACTGAAGCATTCTCAGAAACTGCTTTGTGATGTTTGTGTTCGAGCCACAGAGTTTAACATTGCTTTTCATAGAGCAGTTTTGAAATATTCTTTTGGCAGAATCTGCAAGTGGACATTTGGAGCGCTTTCAGGCCTGTGGTTGGGAAAAGGCCTGAAAGCCTTTTCCTTTATCTTCACAGAAAGACGAGAGAGAAGCATTGTCAGAAACTTCTTTGTGATGATTGCATTCAACTCACAGAGTTGAAGATTCCTTTTGAAACAGCAGTTTCGAAACACTCTTTCTGTGGGATCCGCAAGGGGATATTTGGACCTCTTTGAAGGTTTCGTTGGAAACGGGATAATCTTCACCTAAAAGCTAAACGGAAGCATTCTCAGAAACTTCTTTGGGATGTTTGCATTCACCTCACAGAGTTGAACTTTCCCTTTGATAGCGCAGCTTTGACACACTTTTTCTACAATGTGCAAGTGGCTATTTAGCGGGCTTGGAGGACTGTGTTGGAAAAGGAAATATCTTCTCCTAAAAACGACATAGAAGCATTCTCAGAAACTGCTCTGTGATGATTGCATTCAACTCCCAGAGTTGAACATTCCTT
Organism: Homo sapiens; assembly: GCF_000001405.40. Lineage (NCBI taxonomy): Eukaryota > Metazoa > Chordata > Mammalia > Primates > Hominidae > Homo > Homo sapiens. The sequence continues at coordinate 58,635,479 of NC_000023.11, forward strand.
TTGATAGAGCAGTTTGCAAACACTCTTTTTGTAGAATCTGCAAGTGGAGATTTGGACCGCTTTGAGGCCTGTGGTAGTGAAGGAAAGAACTTCATATAAAAACCAGACGGTAGCACTCTCAGAAAATTCTTTGTGACGATGGAGTTTAACTCAGGGAGCTGAACATTCGTTATGATGGAGCAGTTTCCAAACACACGTTTTGTAGAATCTGCAAGGGGATATTTGGACCTCTCTGAGGATTTCGTTGGAAACGGGATCAACTTCCCATAACTGAACGGAAGCAAACTCAGAACATTCTTTGTGATGTTTGTATTCAACTCACAGAGTTGAACCTTCCTTTGATAGTTCAGGTTTGCAACACCCTTGTAGTAGAATCTGCAAGTGTATATTTTGACCACTTTGTAGCCTTCGTTTGAAACGTCTATATCTTCACATCAAACCTAGACAGAAGCATTCTCAGAAAGTTTTCTGCGATGACTGCATTCAACTCACAGAGTTGAACAATCCTTCTGATGGAGCAGTTTTGAAACCCTCTTTCTTTGGAATCTGCAAGGGGATATGTGGACCTCTTTGAAGATTTCACTGGAAACGGGATCATCTTCACATAAAAACTAAACAGAAGCATTCTCGGAAACTACTTTGTGATGTTTGTATTCAACTCCCAGAGTTGAACTTTCCTTTTGAAAGAGCAGCTATGAAACACTCTTTTTCGAGAATCTGCAAGTGGACGTTTGGAGGGCTTTGAGGCCTGTGGTGGAAAAGGAAATATCTTCACATAAAAACTAGATAGAAGCATTCTCAGAAACTACTTTGTGAGGATGGCATTCAACTCATGGAGTTGAACAATCCTATTGATAGAGCAGATTGGAATCACTCTTTTTGTAGAATCTGCAAATGGAGATTTGGACTGCTTTGAGGCCTACGGTCGTATAGGAAGGAACTTCATATAAAAGGCAAACGGAAGCATTCTCAGAATATTCTTTGTGATGATGGAGTTTCACTCACAGAGCTGAACATGCCTTTTGATGGAGCAGTTTCCAAATACACTTTTGGTAGAATCTGCAGGTGGATATTTGGACCTCTCTGAGGATTTCGTTGGAAACGGGAATAATTTCCCATAACTAAACACAAACACTCTGAGAAAGTTCTTCATGATGAATGCATTTAACTCGCAGAGATGAACCTGCCTTTGAGAGTTCATGTTCGAAACACTCTTTCTGTAGAATCTGCAAGTGGATATTTGGACCACTGGCTGGCCTTCGTTCGAAACGGGTATATGTTCACGTAAAAACTAAAGAGAAGCATTCTCAGAAACTTGTGAGTGATGATTGCATTCAAGTCACACAGTTGAACCCTCCTTTTGATGGAGCAGTTTTGAAACTGTCTTTTTGTAGAATCTGTAAGTGGATACGTGGACCTCTTTGAAGATTTCTTTGGAAACGGGAATATTTCCACAGAAAAACTAAACTGAAGCATTCTCAGAAACCGCTTTGTGATGTTTGTGTTCGAGCCACAGAGTTTAACATTGCTTTTCATAGAGCAGTTTTGAAATATTCTTTTGGCAGAATCTGCAAGTGGACATTTGGAGCGCTTTCAGGCCTGTGGTGGAAAAGGCCTGAAAGCCTTTTCCTTTATCTTCACAGAAAGACGAGAGAGAAGCATTGTCAGAAACTTCTTTGTGATGATTGCATTCAACTCACAGAGTTGAAGATTCCTTTTGAAACAGCAGTTTCGAAACACTCTTTCTGTGGGATCCGCAAGGGGATATTTGGACCTCTTTGAAGGTTTCGTTGGAAACGGGATAATCTTCACCTAAAAGCTAAACGGAAGCATTCTCAGAAACTTCTTTGGGATGTTTGCATTCACCTCACAGAGTTGAACTTTCCCTTTGATAGCGCAGCTTTGACACACTTTTTCTACAATGTGCAAGTAGCTATTTAGCGGGCTTGGAGGACTGTGTTGGAAAAGGAATTATCTTCTCCTAAAAACGACATAGAAGCATTCTCAGAAACTGCTCTGTGATGATTGCATTCAACTCCCAGAGTTGAACATTCCTTTTGATAGAGCAGTTTGCAAACACTCTTTTTGTAGAATCTGCAAGTGGAGATTTGGACCGCTTTGAGGCCTGTGGTAGTGAAGGAAAGAACTTCATATAAAAACCAGACGGTAGCACTCTCAGAAAATTCTTTGTGACGATGGAGTTTAACTCAGGGAGCTGAACATTCGTTATGATGGAGCAGTTTCCAAACACACGTTTTGTAGAATCTGCAAGGGGATATTTGGACCTCTCTGAGGATTTCGTTGGAAACGGGATCAACTTCCCATAACTGAACGGAAGCAAACTCAGAACATTCTTTGTGATGTTTGTATTCAACTCACAGAGTTGAACCTTCCTTTGATAGTTCAGGTTTGCAACACCCTTGTAGTAGAATCTGCAAGTGTATATTTTGACCACTTTGTAGCCTTCGTTTGAAACGTCTATATCTTCACATCAAACCTAGACAGAAGCATTCTCAGAAAGTTTTCTGCGATGACTGCATTCCACTCACAGAGTTGAACAATCCTTCTGATGGAGCAGTTTTGAAACCCTCTTTCTTTGGAATCTGCAAGGGGATATGTGGACCTCTTTGAAGATTTCACTGGAAACGGGATCATCTTCACATAAAAACTAAACAGAAGCATTCTCGGAAACTACTTTGTGATGTTTGTATTCAACTCCCAGAGTTGAACTTTCCTTTTGAAAGAGCAGCTATGAAACACTCTTTTTCGAGAATCTGCAAGTGGACGTTTGGAGGGCTTTGAGGCCTGTGGTGGAAAAGGAAATATCTTCACATTAAAACTAGATAGAAGCATTCTCAGAAACGACTTTGTGAGGATGGCATTCAACTCATGGAGTTGAACAATCCTATTGATAGAGCAGATTGGAATCACTCTTTTTGTAGAATCTGCAAATGGAGATTTGGACTGCTTTGAGGCCTACGGTAGTATAGGAAGGAAGTTCATATAAAAGGCAAACGGAAGCATTCTCAGAATATTCTTTGTGATGATGGAGTTTCACTCACAGAGCTGAACATGCCTTTTGATGGAGCAGTTTCCAAATACACTTTTGGTAGAATCTGCAGGTGGATATTTGGAGCTCTCTGAGGATTTCGTTGGAAACGGGAATAATTTCCCATAACTAAACACAAACACTCTGAGAAAGTTCTTCATGATGAATGCATTTAACTCGCAGAGATGAACCTGCCTTTGAGAGTTCAGGTTCGAAACACTCTTTCTGTAGAATCTGCAAGTGGATATTTGGACCACTGGCTGGCCTTCGTTCGAAACGGGTATATGTTCACGTAAAAACTAAAGAGAAGCATTCTCAGAAACTTCTGAGTGATGATTGCATTCAAGTCACACAGTTGAACCCTCCTTTTGATGGAGCAGTTTTGAAACTGTCTTTTTGTAGAATCTGTAAGTGGATACGTGGACCTCTTTGAAGATTTCTTTGAAACGGGAATATTTCCACAGAAAAACTAAACTGAAGCATTCTCAGAAACTGCTTTGTGATGTTTGTGTTCGAGCCACAGAGTTTAACATTGCTTTTCATAGAGCAGTTTTGAAATATTCTTTTCGCAGAATCTGCAAGTGGACATTTGGAGCGCTTTCAGGCCTGTGGTGGAAAAGGCCTGAAAGCCTTTTCCTTTATCTTCACAGAAAGACGAGAGAGAAGCATTGTCAGAAACTTCTTTGTGATGATTGCATTCAACTCACAGAGTTGAAGATTCCTTTTGAAACAGCAGTTTCGAAACACTCTTTCTGTGGGATCCGCAAGGGGATATTTGGACCTCTTTGAAGGTTTCGTTGGAAACGGGATAATCTTCACCTAAAAGCTAAACGGAAGCATTCTCAGAAACTTCTTTGGGATGTTTGCATTCACCTCACAGAGTTGAACTTTCCCTTTGATAGCGCAGCTTTGACACACTTTTTCTACAATGTGCAAGTGGCTATTTAGCGGGCTTGGAGGACTGTGTTGGAAAAGGAAATATCTTCTCCTAAAAACGACATAGAAGCATTCTCAGAAACTGCTCTGTGATGATTGCATTCAACTCCCAGAGTTGAACATTCCTTTTGATAGAGCAGTTTGCAAACACTCTTTTTGTAGAATCTGCAAGTGGAGATTTGGACCGCTTTGAGGCCTGTGGTAGTGAAGGAAAGAACTTCATATAAAAACCAGACGGTAGCACTCTCAGAAAATTCTTTGTGACGATGGAGTTTAACTCAGGGAGCTCAACATTCGTTATGATGGAGCAGTTTCCAAACACACGTTTTGTAGAATCTGCAAGGGGATATTTGGACCTCTCTGAGGATTTCGTTGGAAACGGGATCAACTTCCCATAACTGAACGGAAGCAAACTCAGAACATTCTTTGTGATGTTTGTATTCAACTCACAGAGTTGAACCTTCCTTTGATAGTTCAGGTTTGCAACACCCTTGTAGTAGAATCTGCAAGTGTATATTTTGACCACTTTGTAGCCTTCGTTTGAAACATGCTATATCTTCACATCAAACCTAGACAGAAGCATTCTCAGAAAGTTTTCTGCGATGACTGCATTCAACTCACAGAGTTGAACAATCCTTCTGATGGAGCAGTTTTGAAACCCTCTTTCTTTGGAATCTGCAAGGGGATATGTGGACCTCTTTGAAGATTTCACTGGAAACGGGATCATCTTCACATAAAAACTAAACAGAAGCATTCTCGGAAACTACTTTGTGATGTTTGTATTCAACTCCCAGAGTTGAACTTTCCTTTTGAAAGAGCAGCTATGAAACACTCTTTTTCGAGAATCTGCAAGTGGACGTTTGGAGGGCTTTGAGGCCTGTGGTGGAAAAGGAAATATCTTCACATAAAAACTAGATAGAAGCATTCTCAGAAACTACTTTGTGACGATGGCATTCAACTCATGGAGTTGAACAATCCTATTGATAGAGCAGATTGGAATCACTCTTTTTGTAGAATCTGCAAATGGAGATTTGGACTGCTTTGAGGCCTACGGTAGTATAGGAAGGAACTTCATAAAAAGGCAAACGGAAGCATTTTCAGAATATTCTTTGTGATGATGGAGTTTCACTCACAGAGCTGAACATGCCTTTTGATGGAGCAGTTTCCAAATACACTTTTGGTAGAATCTGCAGGTGGATATTTGGACCTCTCTGAGGATTTCGTTGGAAACGGGAATAATTTCCCATAACTAAACACAAACACGCTGAGAAAGTTCTTCATGATGAATGCATTGAACTCGCAGAGATGAACCTGCCTTTGAGAGTTCAGGTTCGAAACACTCTTTCTTTAGAATCTGCAAGTGGATATTTGGACCACTGGGTGGCCTTCGTTCGAAACGGCTATATGTTCACGTAAAAACTACACAGAAAGCATTCTCAGCAAACTTCTGAGTGATGATTGCATTCAAGTCACACAGTTGAACCCTCCTTTTGATGGAGCAGTTTTGAAACTGTCTTTTTGTAGAATCTGTAAGTGGATACGTGGACCTCTTTGAAGATTTCTTTGGAAACGGGAATATTTCCACAGAAAAACTAAACTGAAGCATTCTCAGAAACTGCTTTGTGATGTTTGTGTTCGAGCCACAGAGTTTAACATTGCTTTTCATAGAGCAGTTTTGAAATATTCTTTTGGCAGAATCTGCAAGTGGACATTTGGAGCGCTTTCAGGCCTGTGGTGGAAAAGGCCTGAAAGCCTTTTCCTTTATCTTCACAGGAAGACGAGAGAGAAGCATTGTCAGAAACTTCTTTGTGATGATTGCATTCAACTCACAGAGTTGAAGATTCCTTTTGAAACAGCAGTTTCGAAACACTCTTTCTGTGGGATCCGCAAGGGGATATTTGGACCTCTTTGAAGGTTTCGTTGGAAACGGGATAATCTTCACCTAAAAGCTAAACGGAAGCATTCTCAGAAACTTCTTTGGGATGTTTGCATTCACCTCACAGAGTTGAACTTTCCCTTTGATAGCGCAGCTTTGACACACTTTTTCTACAATGTGCAAGTGGCTATTTAGCGGGCTTGGAGGACTGTGTTGGAAAAGGAAATATCTTCTCCTAAAAACGACATAGAAGCATTCTCAGAAACTGCTCTGTGATGATTGCATTCAACTCCCAGAGTTGAACATTCCTTTTGATAGAGCAGTTTGCAAACACTCTTTTTGTAGAATCTGGAAGTGGAGATTTGGACGGCTTTGAGGTCTGTGGTAGTGAAGGAAAGAACTTCATATAAAAACCAGACGGTAGCACTCTCAGAAAATTCTTTGTGACGATGGAGTTTAACTCAGAGAGCTGAACATTCGTTATGATGGAGCAGTTTCCAAACACACGTTTTGTAGAATCTGCAAGGGGATATTTGGACCTCTCTGATGATTTCGTTGGAAACGGGATCAACTTCCCATAACTGAACGGAAGCAAACTCAGAACATTCTTTGTGATGTTTGTATTCAACTCACAGAGTTGAACCTTCCATTGATAGTTCAGGTTTGCAACACCCTTGTAGTAGAATCTGCAAGTGTATATTTTGACCACTTTGTAGCCCTTCGTTTGAAACGTCTATATCTTCACATCAAACCTAGACAGAAGCATTCTCAGAAAGTTTTCTGCGATGACTGCATTCAACTCACAGAGTTGAACAATCCTTTTGATGGAGCAGTTTTGAAACCCTCTTTCTTTGGAATCTGCAAGGGGATATGTGGACCTCTTTGAAGATTTCACTGGAAACGGGATCATCTTCACATAAGAACTAAACAGAAGCATTCTCGGAAACTACTTTGTGATGTTTGTATTCAACTCCCAGAGTTGAACATTCCTTTTGAAAGAGCAGCTATGAAACACTCTTTTTCGAGAATCTGCAAGTGGACGTTTGGAGGGCTTTGAGGCCTGTGGTGGAAAAGGAAATATCTTCACATAAAAACTAGATAGAAGCATTCTCAGAAACGACTTTGTGAGGATGGCATTCAACTCATGGAGTTGAACAATCCTATTGATAGAGCAGATTGGAATCACTCTTTTTGTAGAATCTGCAAATGGAGATTTGGACTGCTTTGAGGCCTACGGTAGTATAGGAAGGAACTTCATATAAAAGGCAAACGGAAGCATTCTCAGAATATTCTTTGTGATGATGGAGTTTCACTCACAGAGCTGAACATGCCTTTTCATGGAGCAGTTTCCAAATACACTTTTGGTAGAATCTGCAGGTGGATATTTGGAGCTCTCTGAGGATTTCGTTGGAAACGGGAATAATTTCCCATAACTAAACACAAACACGCTGAGAAAGTTCTTCATGATGAATGCATTGAACTCGCAGAGATGAACCTGCCTTTGAGAGTTCAGGTTCGAAACACTCTTTCTGTAGAATCTGCAAGTGGATATTTGGACCACTGGGTGGCCTTCGTTCGAAACGGCTATATGTTCACGTAAAAACTAAACAGAAGCGTTCTCAGAAACTTCTGAGTGATGATTGCATTCAAGTCACACAGTTGAACCCTCCTTTTGATGGAGCAGTTTTGAAACTGTCTTTTTGTAGAATCTGTAAGTGGATACGTGGACCTCTTTGAAGATTTCTTTGGAAACGGGAATATTTCCACAGAAAAACTAAACTGAAGCATTCTCAGAAACCGCTTTGTGATGTTTGTGTTCGAGCCACAGAGTTTAACATTGCTTTTCATAGAGCAGTTTTGAAATATTCTTTTGGCAGAATCTGCAAGTGGACATTTGGAGCGCTTTCAGGCCTGTGGTGGAAAAGGCCTGAAAGCCTTTTCCTTTATCTTCACAGAAAGACGAGAGAGAAGCATTGTCAGAAACTTCTTTTTGATGATTGCATTCAACTCACAGAGTTGAAGATTCCTTTTGAAACAGCAGTTTCGAAACACTCTTTCTGTGGGATCCGCAAGGGGATATTTGGACCTCTTTGAAGGTTTCGTTGGAAACGGGATAATCTTCACCTAAAAGCTAAACGGAAGCATTCTCAGAAACTTCTTTGGGATGTTTGCATTCACCTCACAGAGTTGAACTTTCCCTTTGATAGCGCAGCTTCGACACACTTTTTCTACAATGTGCAAGTGGCTATTAAGCGGGCTTGGAAGACTGTGTTGGAAAAGGAAATATCTTCTCCTAAAAACGACATAGAAGCATTCTCAGAAACTGCTCTGTGATGATTGCATTCAACTCCCAGAGTTGAACATTCCTTTTGATAGAGCAATTTGCAAACACTCTTTTTGTAGAATCTGCAAGTGGAGATTTGGACCGCTTTGAGGCCTGTGGTAGTAAAGGAAAGAACTTCATATAAAAAGTAGACGGTAGCAGTCTCAGAAAATTCTTTGTGACGATGGAGTTTAACTCAGAGAGCTGAACATTCGTTATGATGGAGCAGTTTCCAAACACACGTTTTGTAGAATCTGCAAGGGGATATTTGGACCTCTCTGAGGATTTCGTTGGAAACGGGATCAACTTCCCATAACTGAACGGAAGCAAACTCAGAACATTCTTTGTGATGTTTGTATTCAACTCACAGAGTTGAACCTTCCTTTGATAGTTGAGGTTTGCAACACCCTTGTAGTAGAATCTGCAAGTGTATATTTTGACCACTTTTTAGCCTTCGTTTGAAACGTCTATATCTTCACCTCAAACCTAGACAGAAGCATTCTCAGAAAGTTTTCTGCGATGACTGCATTCAACTCACAGAGTTGAACAATCCTTTTGATGGAGCAGTTTTGAAACCCTCTTTCTTTGGAATCTGCAAGGGGATATGTGGACCTCTTTGAAGATTTCACTGGAAACGGGATCATCTTCACATAAGAACTAAACAGAAGCATTCTCGGAAACTACTTTGTGATGTTTGTATTCAACTCCCAGAGTTGAACTTTCCTTTTGAAAGAGCAGCTATGAAACACTCTTTTTCGAGAATCTGCAAGTGGACGTTTGGAGGGCTTTGAGGCCTGTGGTGGAAAAGGAAATATCTTCACATAAAAACTAGATAGAAGCATACTCAGAAACGACTTTGTGAGGATGGCATTCAACTCATGGAGTTGAACAATCCTATTGATAGAGCAGATTGGAATCACTCTTTTTGTAGAATCTGCAAATGGAGATTTGGACTGCTTTGAGGCCTACGGTAGTATAGGAAGGAACTTCATATAAAAGGCAAACGGAAGCATTCTCAGAATATTCTTTGTGATGATGGAGTTTCACTCACAGAGCTGAACATGCCTTTTGATGGAGCAGTTTCCAAATACACTTTTGGTAGAATCTGCAGGTGGATATTTGGACCTCTCTGAGGATTTCGTTGGAAACGGCAATAATTTCCCATAACTAAACACAAACACGCTGAGAAAGTTCTTCATGTTGAATGCATTGAACTCGCAGAGATGAACCTGCCTTTGAGAGTTCAGGTTCGAAACACTCTTTCTGTAGAATCTGCAAGTGGATATTTGGACCACTGGGTGGCCTTCGTTCGAAACGGGTATATGTTCACGTAAAAACTAAAGAGAAGCATTCTCAGAAACTTCTGAGTGATGATTGCATTCAAGTCACACGGTTGAACCCTCCTTTTGATTGAGCAGTTTTGAAACTGTCTTTTTGTAGAATCTGTAAGTGGATGCGTGGACCTCTTTGAAGATTTCTTTCGAAACGGGAATATTTCCACAGAAAAACTAAACTGAAGCATTCTCAGAAACTGCTTTGTGATGTTTGTGTTCGAGCCACAGAGTTTAACATTGCTTTTCATAGAGCAGTTTTGAAATATTCTTTTGGCAGAATCTGCAAGTGGACATTTGGAGCGCTTTCAGGCCTGTGGTGGAAAAGGCCTGAAAGCCTTTTCCTTTATCTTCACAGAAAGACGAGAGAGAAGCATTGTCAGAAACTTCTTTGTGATGATTGCATTCAACTCACAGAGTTGAAGATTCCTTTTGAAACAGCAGTTTCGAAACACTCTTTCTGTGGGATCCGCAAGGGGATATTTGGACCTCTTTGAAGATTTCGTTGGAAACGGGATAATTTTCACCTAAAAGCTAAACGGAAGCATTCTCAGAAACTTCTTTGGGATGTTTGCATTCACCTCACAGAGTTGAACTTTCCCTTTGATAGCGCAGCTTCGACACACTTTTTCTACAATGTGCAAGTGGATATTTAGCGGGCTTGGAGGACTGTGTTGGAAAAGGAAATATCTTCTCCTAAAAACGACATAGAAGCATTCTCAGAAACTGCTCTGTGATGATTGCATTCAACTCCCAGAGTTGAACATTCCTTTTGATAGAGCAGTTTGCAAACACTGTTTTTGTAGAATCTGCAAGTGGAGATTTGGACCGCTTTGAGGCCTGTGGTAGTAAAGGAAAGAACTTCATATAAAAACCAGACGGTAGCACTCTCAGAAAATTCTTTGTGACGATGGAGTTTAACTCAGAGAGCTGAACATTCGTTATGATGGAGCAGTTTCCAAACACACGTTTTGTAGAATCTGCAAGGGGATATTTGGACCTCTCTGAGGATTTCGTTGGAAACGGGATCAACTTCCCATAACTGAACAGAAGCAAACTGAGAACATTCTTTGTGATGTTTGTATTCAACTCACAGAGTTGAACCTTCCTTTGATAGTTGAGGTTTGCAACACCCTTGTAGTAGAATCTGCAAGTGTATATTTTGACCACTTTGTAGCCTTCGTTTGAAACGTCTATATCTTCACCTCAAACCTAGACCGAAGCATTCTCAGAAAGTTTTCTGCGATGACTGCATTCAACTCACAGAGTTGAACAATCCTTTTGATGGAGCAGTTTTGAAACCCTCTTTCTTTGGAATCTGCAAGGGGATATGTGGACCTCTTTGAAGATTTCACTGGAAACGGGATCATCTTCACATAAGAACTAAACAGAAAGCATTCTCGGAAACTACTTTGTGATGTTTGTATTCAACTCCCAGAGTTGAACTTTCCTTTTGAAAGAGCAGCTATGAAACACTCTTTTTCGAGAATCTGAAAGTGGACGTTTGGAGGGCTTTGAGGCCTGTGGTGGAAAAGGAAATATCTTCACATAAAAACTAGATAGAAGCATTCTCAGAAACTGCTTTGTGAGGATGGCATTCAACTCATGGAGTTGAACAATCCTATTGATAGAGCAGATTGGAATCACTCTTTTTGTAGAATCTGCAAATGGAGATTTGGACTGCTTTGAGGCCTACGGTAGTACAGGAAGGAACTTCATATAAAAGGCAAACGGAAGCATTCTCAGAATATTCTTTGTGATGATGGAGTTTCACTCACAGAGCTGAACATGCCTTTTGATGGAGCAGTTTCCAAATACACTTTTGGTAGAATCTGCAGGTGGATATTTGGAGCTCTCTGAGGATTTCGTTGGAAACGGGAATAATTTCCCATAACTAAACACAAACACTCTGAGAAAGTTCTTCATGATGAATGCATTTAACTCGCAGAGATGAACCTGCCTTTGAGAGTTCAGGTTCGAAACAATCTTTCTGTATAATCTGCAAGTGGATATTTGGACCACTGGGTGGCCTTCGTTCGAAACGGGTATATGTTCACGTAAAAACTAAAGAGAAGCATTCTCAGAAACTTCTGAGTGATGATTGCATTCAAGTCACACGGTTGAACCCTCCTTTTGATGGAGCAGTTTGGAAACTGTCTTTTTGTAGAATCTGTAAGTGGATACGTGGACCTCTTTGAAGATTTCTTTGGAAACGGGAATATTTCCACAGAAAAACTAAACTGAAGCATTCTCAGAAACCGCTTTGTGATGTTTGTGTTCGAGCCGCAGAGTTTAACATTGCTTTTCATAGAGCAGTTTTGAAATATTCTTTTCGCAGAATCTGCAAGTGGACATTTGGAGCGCTTTCAGGCCTGTGGTGGAAAAGGCCTGAAAGCCTTTTCCTTTATCTTCACAGAAAGACGAGAGAGAAGCATTGTCAGAAACTTCTTTGTGATGATTGCATTCAACTCACAGAGTTGAAGATTCCTTTTGAAACAGCAGTTTCGAAACACTCTTTCTGTGGGATCCGCAAGGGGATATTTGGACCTCTTTGAAGGTTTCGTTGGAAACGGGATAATCTTCACCTAAAAGCTAAACGGAAGCATTCTCAGAAACTTCTTTGGGATGTTTGCATTCACCTCACAGAGTTGAACTTTCCCTTTGATAGCGCAGCTTTGACACACTTTTTCTACAATGTGCAAGTGGCTATTTAGCGGGCTTGGAGGACTGTGTTGGAAAAGGAAATATCTTCTCCTAAAAACGACATAGAAGCATTCTCAGAAACTGCTCTGTGATGATTGCATTCAACTCCCAGAGTTGAACATTCCTTTTGATAGAGCAGTTTGCAAACACTCTTTTTGTAGAATCTGCAAGTGGAGATTTGGACCGCTTTGAGGTCTGTGGTAGTGAAGGAAAGAACTTCATATAAAAACCAGACGGTAGCACTCTCAGAAAATTCTTTGTGACGATGGAGTTTAACTCAGGGAGCTGAACATTCGTTATGATGGAGCAGTTTCCAAACACACGTTTTGTAGAATCTGCAAGGGGATATTTGGACCTCTCTGAGGATTTCGTTGGAAACGGGATCAACTTCCCATAACTGAACGGAAGCAAACTCAGAACATTCTTTGTGATGTTTGTATTCAACTCACAGAGTTGAACTTTCCTTTGATAGTTCAGGTTTGCAACACCCTTGTAGTAGAATCTGCAAGTGTATATTTTGACCACTTTGTAGCCTTCGTTTGAAACGTCTATATCTTCACATCAAACCTAGACAGAAGCATTCTCAGAAAGTTTTCTGCGATGACTGCATTCAACTCACAGAGTTGAACAATCCTTCTGATGGAGCAGTTTTGAAACCCTCTTTCTTTGGAATCTGCAAGGGGATATGTGGACCTCTTTGAAGATTTCACTGGAAACGGGATCATCTTCACATAAAAACTAAACAGAAGCATTCTCGGAAACTACTTTGTGATGTTTGTATTCAACTCCCAGAGTTGAACTTTCCTTTTGAAAGAGCAGCTATGAAACACTCTTTTTCGAGAATCTGCAAGTGGACGTTTGGAGGGCTTTGAGGCCTGTGGTGGAAAAGGAAATATCTTCACATAAAAACTAGATAGAAGCATTCTCAGAAACGACTTTGTGAGGATGGCATTCAACTCATGGAGTTGAACAATCCTATTGATAGAGCAGATTGGAATCACTCTTTTTGTAGAATCTGCAAATGGAGATTTGGACTGCTTTGAGGCCTACGGTCGTATAGGAAGGAACTTCATATAAAAGGCAAACGGAAGCATTCTCAGAATATTCTTTGTAATGATGGAGTTTCACTCACAGAGCGGAACATGCCTTTTGATGGAGCAGTTTCCAAATCCACTTTTGGTAGAATCTGCAGGTGGATATTTGGAGCTCTCTGAGGATTTCGTTGGAAACGGGAATAATTTCCCATAACTAAACACAAACACTCTGAGAAAGTTCTTCATGATGAATGCATTTAACTCGCAGAGATGAACCTGCCTTTGAGAGTTCAGGTTCGAAACACTCTTTCTGTATAATCTGCAAGTGGATATTTGGACCACTGGGTGGCCTTCGTTCGAAACGGGTATATGTTCACGTAAAAACTAAAGAGAAGCATTCTCAGAAACTTCTGAGTGATGATTGCATTCAAGTCACACGGTTGAACCCTCCTTTTGATGGAGCAGTTTTGAAACTGTCTTTTTGTAGAATCTGTAAGTGGATACGTGGACCTCTTTGAAGATTTCTTTGGAAACGGGAATATTTCCACAGAAAAACTAAACTGAAGCATTCTCAGAAACTGCTTTGTGATGTTTGTGTTCGAGCCACAGAGTTTAACATTGCTTTTCATAGAGCAGTTTTGAAATATTCTTTTCGCAGAATCTGCAAGTGGACATTTGGAGCGCTTTCAGGCCTGTGGTGGAAAAGGCCTGAAAGCCTTTTCCTTTATCTTCACAGAAAGACGAGAGAGAAGCATTGTCAGAAACTTCTTTGTGATGATTGCATTCAACTCACAGAGTTGAAGATTCCTTTTGAAACAGCAGTTTCGAAACACTCTTTCTGTGGGATCCGCAAGGGGATATTTGGACCTCTTTGAAGGTTTCGTTGGAAACGGGATAATCTTCACCTAAAAGCTAAACGGAAGCATTCTCAGAAACTTCTTTGGGATGTTTGCATTCACCTCACAGAGTTGAACTTTCCCTTTGATAGCGCAGCTTTGACACACTTTTTCTACAATGTGCAAGTGGCTATTTAGCGGGCTTGGAGGACTGTGTTGGAAAAGGAAATATCTTCTCCTAAAAACGACATAGAAGCATTCTCAGAAACTGCTCTGTGATGATTGCATTCAACTCCCAGAGTTGAACATTCCTTTTGATAGAGCAGTTTGCAAACACTCTTTTTGTAGAATCTGCAAGTGGAGATTTGGACCGCTTTGAGGCCTGTGGTAGTGAAGGAAAGAACTTCATATAAAAACCAGACGGTAGCACTCTCAGAAAATTCTTTGTGACGATGGAGTTTAACTCAGGGAGCTGAACATTCGTTATGATGGAGCAGTTTCCAAACACACGTTTTGTAGAATCTGCGAGGGGATATTTGGACCTCTCTGAGGATTTCGTTGGAAACGGGATCAACTTCCCATAACTGAACGGAAGCAAACTCAGAACATTCTTTGTGATGTTTGTATTCAATTCACAGAGTTGAACCTTCCTTTGATAGTTCAGGTTTGCAACACCCTTGTAGTAGAATCTGCAAGTGTATATTTTGACCACTTTGTAGCCTTCGTTTGAAACGTCTATATCTTCACATCAAACCTAGACAGAAGCATTCTCAGAAAGTTTTCTGCGATGACTGCATTCAACTCACACAGTTGAACAATCCTTCTGATGGAGCAGTTTTGAAACCCTCTTTCTTTGGAATCTGCAAGGGGATATGTGGACCTCTTTGAAGATTTCACTGGAAACGGGATCATCTTCACATAAAAACTAAACAGAAGCATTCTCGGAAACTACTTTGTGATGTTTGTATTCAACTCCCAGAGTTGAACTTTCCTTTTGAAAGAGCAGCTATGAAACAGTCTTTTTCGAGAATGTGCAAGTGGACGTTTGGAGGGCTTTGAGGCCTGTGGTGGAAAAGGAAATATCTTCACATAAAAACTAGATAGAAGCATTCTCAGAAACGACTTTGTGAGGATGGCATTCAACTCATGGAGTTGAACAATCCTATTGATAGAGCAGATTGGAATCACTCTTTTTGTAGAATCTGCAAATGGAGATTTGGACTGCTTTGAGGCCTACGGTAGTATAGGAAGGAACTTCATATAAAAGGCAAACGGAAGCATTCTCAGAATATTCTTTGTGATGATGGAGTTTCACTCACAGAGCTGAACATGCCTTTTGATGGAGCAGTTTCCAAATACACTTTTGGTAGAATCTGCAGGTGGATATTTGGAGCTCTCTGAGGATTTCGTTGGAAACGGGAATAATTTCCCATAACTAAACACAAACACGCTGAGAAAGTTCTTCATGATGAATGCATTGAACTCGCAGAGATGAACCTGCCTTTGAGAGTTCAGGTTCGAAACACTCTTTCTGTAGAATCTGCAAGTGGATATTTGGACCACTGGCTGGCCTTCGTTCGAAACGGGTATATGTTCACGTAAAAACTAAAGAGAAGCGTTCTCAGAAACTTCTGAGTGATGATTGCATTCAAGTCACACAGTTGAACCCTCCTTTTGATTGAGCAGTTTTGAAACTGTCTTTTTGTAGAATCTGTAAGTGGATGCGTGGACCTCTTTGAAGATTTCTTTGGAAACAGGAATATTTCCACAGAAAAACTAAACTGAAGCATTCTCTGAAACTGCTTTGTGATGTTTGTGTTCGAGCCGCAGAGTTTAACATTGCTTTTCATAGAGCAGTTTTGAAATATTCTTTTGGAAGAATCTGCAAGTGGACATTTGGAGCGCTTTCAGGCCTGTGGGTGGAAAAGGCCTGAAAGCCTTTTCCTTTATCTTCACAGAAAGACGAGAGAGAAAGCATTGTCAGAAACTTCTTTGTGATGATTGCATTCAACCCACAGAGTTGAAGATTCCTTTTGAAACAGCAGTTTCGAAACACTCTTTCTGTGGGATCCGCAAGGGGATATTTGGACCTCTTTGAAGATTTCGTTGGAAACGGGATAATCTTCACCTAAAAGCTAAACGGAAGCATTCTCAGAAACTTCTTTGGGATGTTTGCATTCACCTCACAGAGTTGAACTTTCCCTTTGATAGCGCAGCTTCGACACACTTTGTCTACAATGTGCAAGTGGATATTTAGCGGGCTTGGAGGACTGTGTTGGAAAAGGAAATATCTTCTCCTAAAAACGACATAGAAGCATTCTCAGAAACTGCTCTGTGATGATTGCATTCAACTCCCAGAGTTGAACATTCCTTTTGATAGAGCAGTTTGCAAACACTCTTTTTGTAGAATATGCAAGTGGAGATTTGGACCGCTTTGAGGCCTGTGGTAGTAAAGGAAAGAACTTCATATAAAAACCAGACGGTAGCACTCTCAGAAAATTTTTTGTGACGATGGAGTTTAACTCAGAGAGCTGAACATTCGTTATGATGGAGCAGTTTCCAAACACACGTTTTGTAGAATCTGCAAGGGGATATTTGGACCTCTCTGAGGATTTCGTTGGAAACGGGATCAACTTCCCATAACTGAACGGAAGCAAACTCAGAACATTCTTTGTGATGTTTGTATTCAACTCACAGAGTTGAACCTTCCTTTGATAGTTCAGGTTTGCAACACCCTTGTAGTAGAATCTGCAAGTGTATATTTTGACCACTTTGTAGCCTTCGTTTGAAACGTCTATATCTTCACATCAAACCTAGACAGAAGCATTCTCAGAAAGTTTTCTGCGATGACTGCATTCAACTCACAGAGTTGAACAATCCTTTTGATGGAGCAGTTTTGAAACCCTCTTTCTTTGGAATCTGCAAGGGGATATGTGGACCTCTTTGAAGATTTCACTGGAAACGGGATCATCTTCACATAAAAACTAAACAGAAGCATTCTCGGAAACTATTTTGTGATGTTTGTATTCAACTCCCAGAGTTGAACTTTCCTTTTGAAAGAGCAGCTATGAAACACTCTTTTTCGAGAATCTGCAAGTGGACGTTTGGAGGGCTTTGAGGCCTGTGGTGGAAAAGGAAATATCTTCACACAAAAACCAGATAGAAGCATTCTCAGAAACTACTTTGTGAGGATGGCATTCAACTCATGGAGTTGAACAATCCTATTGATAGAGCAGATTGGAATCACTCTTTTGTAGAATCTGCAAATGGAGATTTGGACTGCTTTGAGGCCTACGGTCGTATAGGAAGGAACTTCATATAAAAGGCAAACGGAAGCATTCTCAGAATATTCTTTGTGATGATGGAGTTTCACTCACAGAGCTGAACATGCCTTTTGATGGAGCAGTTTCCAAATACACTTTTGGTAGAATCTGCAGGTGGATATTTGGAGCTCTCTGAGGATTTCGTTGGAAACGGGAATAATTTCCCATAACTAAACACAAACACTCTGAGAAAGTTCTTCATGATGAATGCATTTAACTCGCAGAGATGAACCTGCCTTTGAGAGTTCAGGTTCGAAACACTCTTTCTGTAGAATCTGCAAGTGGATATTTGGACCACTGGGTGGCCTTCGTTCGAAACGGGTATATGTTCACGTAAAAACTAAAGAGAAGCATTCTCAGAAACTTCTGAGTGATGATTGCATTCAAGTCACACAGTTGAACCCTCCTTTTGATGGAGCAGTTTTGAAACTGTCTTTTTGTAGAATCTGTAAGTGGATACGTGGACCTCTTTGAAGATTTCTTTGGAAACGGGAATATTTCCACAGAAAAACTAAACTGAAACATTCTCAGAAACCGCTTTGTGATGTTTGTGTTCCAGCCACAGAGTTTAACATTGCTTTTCATAGAGCAGTTTTGAAATATTCTTTTGGCAGAATCTGCAAGTGGACATTTGGAGCGCTTTCAGGCCTGTGGTGGAAAAGGCCTGAAAGCCTTTTCCTTTATCTTCACAGAAAGACGAGAGAGAAGCATTGTCAGAAACTTCTTTGTGATGATTGCATTCAACTCACAGAGTTGAAGATTCCTTTTGAAACAGCAGTTTCGAAACACTCTTTCTGTGGGATCCGCAAGGGGATATTTGGACCTCTTTGAAGGTTTCGTTGGAAACGGGATAATCTTCACCTAAAAGCTAAACGGAAGCATTCTCAGAAACTTCTTTGGGATGTTTGCATTCACCTCACAGAGTTGAACTTTCCCTTTGATAGCGCAGCTTTGACACACTTTTTCTACAATGTGCAAGTGGCTATTTAGCGGGCTTGGAGGACTGTGTTGGAAAAGGAAATATCTTCTCCTAAAAACGACATAGAAGCATTCTCAGAAACTGCTCTGTGATGATTGCATTCAACTCCCAGAGTTGAACATTCCTTTTGATAGAGCAGTTTGCAAACACTCTTTTTGTAGAATCTGCAAGTGGAGATTTGGACCGCTTTGAGGCCTGTGGTAGTGAAGGAAAGAACTTCATATAAAAACCAGACGGTAGCACTCTCAGAAAATTCTTTGTGACGATGGAGTTTAACTCAGGGAGCTGAACATTCGTTATGATGGAGCAGTTTCCAAACACACGTTTTGTAGAATCTGCGAGGGGATATTTGGACCTCTCTGAGGATTTCGTTGGAAAAGGGATCAACTTCCCATAACTGAACGGAAGCAAACTCAGAACATTCTTTGTGATGTTTGTATTCAACTCACAGAGTTGAACCTTCCTTTGATAGTTCAGGTTTGCAACACCCTTGTAGTAGAATCTGCAAGTGTATATTTTGACCACTTTGTAGCCTTCGTTTGAAACGTCTATATCTTCACATCAAACCTAGACAGAAGCATTCTCAGAAAGTTTTCTGCGATGACTGCATTCAACTCACAGAGTTGAACAATCCTTCTGATGGAGCAGTTTTGAAACCCTCTTTCTTTGGAATCTGCAAGGGGATATGTGGACCTCTTTGAAGATTTCACTGGAAACGGGATCATCTTCACATAAAAACTAAACAGAAGCATTCTCGGAAACTACTTTGTGATGTTTGTATTCAACTGCCAGAGTTGAACTTTCCTTTTGAAAGAGCAGCTATGAAACACTCTTTTTCGAGAATCTGCAAGTGGACGTTTGGAGGGCTTTGAGGCCTGTGGTGGAAAAGGAAATATCTTCACATAAAAACTAGATAGAAAGCATTCTCAGAAACGACTTTGTGAGGATGGCATTCAACTCATGGAGTTGAACAATCCTATTGATAGAGCAGATTGGAATCACTCTTTTTGTAGAATCTGCAAATGGAGATTTGGACTGCTTTGAGGCCTACGGTCGTATAGGAAGGAACTTCAGATAAAAGGCAAACGGAAGCATTCTCAGAATATTCTTTGTGATGATGGAGTTTCACTCACAGAGCTGAACATGCCTTTTGATGGAGCAGTTTCCAAATACACTTTTGGTAGAATCTGCAGGTGGATATTTGGACCTCTCTGAGGATTTCGTTGGAAACGGCAATAATTTCCCATACCTAAACACAAACACTCTGAGAAAGTTCTTCATGATGAATGCATTGAACTCGCAGAGATGAACCTGCCTTTGAGAGTTCAGGTTCGAAACACTCTTTCTGTAGAATCTGCAAGTGGATATTTGGACCACTGGGTGGCCTTCGTTCGAAACGGGTATATGTTCACGTAAAAACTAAAGAGAAGCATTCTCAGAAACTTCTGAGTGATGATTGCATTCAAGTCACACGGTTGAACACTCCTTTTGATTGAGCAGTTTTGAAACTGTCTTTTTGTAGAATCTGTAAGTGGATACGTGGACCTCTTTGAAGATTTCTTTCGAAACGGGAATATTTCCACAGAAAAACTAAACTGAAGCATTCTCAGAAACTGCTTTGTGATGTTTGTGTTCGAGCCACAGAGTTTAACATTGCTTTTCATAGAGCAGTTTTGAAATATTCTTTTGGCAGAATCTGCAAGTGGACATTTGGAGCGCTTTCAGGCCTGTGGTGGAAAAGGCCTGAAAGCCTTTTCCTTTATCTTCACAGAAAGACGAGAGAGAAGCATTGTCAGAAACTTCTTTGTGATGATTGCATTCAACTCACAGAGTTGAAGATTCCTTTTGAAACAGCAGTTTCGAAACACTCTTTCTGTGGGATCCGCAAGGGGATATTTGGACCTCTTTGAAGATTTCGTTGGAAACGGGATAATCTTCACCTAAAAGCTAAACGGAAGCATTCTCAGAAACTTCTTTGGGATGTTTGCATTCACCTCACAGAGTTGAACTTTCCCTTTGTTAGCGCAGCTTCGACACACTTTTTCTACAATGTGCAAGTCGATATTTAGCGGGCTTTGAGGACTGTGTTGGAAAAGGAAATATCTTCTCCTAAAAACGACATAGAAGCATTCTCAGAAACTGTTCTGTGATGATTGCATTCAACTCCCAGAGTTGAACATTCCTTTTGATAGAGCAGTTTGCAAACACTCTTTTTGTAGAATCTGCAAGTGGAGATTTGGACTGCTTTGAGGCCTGTGGTAGTAAAGGAAAGAACTTCCTTTAAAAACTAGACGGTAGCACTCTCAGAAAATTCTTTGTGACGATGGAGTTTAACTCAGAGAGCTGAACATTCGTTATGATGGAGCAGTTTCCAAACACACATTTTGTAGAATCTGCAAGGGGATATTTGGACCTCTCTGAGGATTTCGTTGGAAACGGGATCAACTTCCCATAACTGAACGGAAGCAAACTCAGAACATTCTTTGTGATGTTTGTATTCAACTCACAGAGTTGAAACTTCCTTTGATATTTCAGGTTTGCATCACCCTTGTAGTAGAATCTGCAAGTGTATATGTTGACCACTTTGTAGCCTTCGTTTGAAACGTCTATATCTTCACATCAAACCTAGACAGAAGCATTCTCAGAAAGTTTTCTGCGATGACTGCATTCAACTCACAGAGTTGAACAATCCTTTTGATGGAGCAGTTTTGAAACCCTCTTTCTTTGGAATCTGCAAGGGGATATGTGGACCTCTTTGAAGATTTCACTGGAAACGGGATCATCTTCACATAAGAACTAAAGAGAAGCATTCTCGGAAACTACTTTGTGATGTTTGTATTCAACTCCCAGAGTTGAACTTTCCTTTTGAAAGAGCAGCTATGAAACCCTCTTTTTCGAGAATCTGCAAGTGGACGTTTGGAGGGCTTTGAGGCCTGTGGTGGAAAAGGAAATATCTTCACATAAAAACTAGATAGAAGCATTCTCAGAAACTACTTTGTGAGGATGGCATTCAACTCATGGAGTTGAACAATCCTATTGATAGAGCAGAATGGAATCACTCTTTTTGTAGAATCTGCAAATGGAGATTTGGACTGCTTTGAGGCCTACGGTAGTATAGGAAGGAACTTCATATAAAAGGCAAACGGAAGCATTCTCAGAATATTCTTTGTGATGATGGAGTTTCACTCACAGAGCTGAACATGCCTTTTGATGGAGCAGTTTCCAAATACACTTTTGGTAGAATCTGCAGGTGGATATTTGGAGCTCTCTGACGATTTCGTTGGAAACGGGAATAATTTCCCATAACTAAACACAAACACGCTGAGAAAGTTCTTCATGATGAATGCATTTAACTCGCAGAGATGAACCTGCCTTTGAGAGTTCAGGTTCAAAACACTCTTTCTGTAGAATCTGCAAGTGGATATTTGGACCACTGGCTGGCCTTCGTTCGAAACGGGTATATGTTCACGTAAAAACTAAAGAGAAGCGTTCTCAGCAAACTTCTGAGTGATGAATGCATTCAAGTCACACAGTTGAACCCTCCTTTTGATTGAGCAGTTTTGAAACTGTCTTTTTGTAGAATCTGTAAGTGGATGCGTGGACCTCTTTGAAGATTTCTTTGGAAACGGGAATATTTCCACAGAAAAACTAAACTGAAGCATTCTCAGAAACTGCTTTGTGATGTTTGTGTTCGAGCCGCAGAGTTTAACATTGCTTTTCATAGAGCAGTTTTGAAATATTCTTTTGGCAGAATCTGCAAGTGGACATTTGGAGCGCTTTCAGGCCTGTGGTGGAAAAGGCCTGAAAGCCTTTTCCTTTATCTTCACAGAAAGACGAGAGAGAAGCATTGTCAGAAACTTCTTTGTGATGATTGCATTCAACTCACAGAGTTGAAGATTCCTTTTGAAACAGCAGTTTCGAAACACTCTTTCTGTGGGATCCGCAAGGGGATATTTGGATCTCTTTGAAGGTTTCGTTGGAAACTGGATAATCGTCACCTAAAAGCTAAACGGAAGCATTCTCAGAAACTTCTTTGGGATGTTTGCATTCACCTCACAGAGTTGAACTTTCCCTTTGATAGCGCAGCTTCGACACACTTTTTCTACAATGTGCAAGTGGATATTTAGCGGGCTTGGAGGACTGTGTTGGAAAAGGAAATATCTTCTCCTAAAAACGACATAGAAGCATTCTCAGAAACTGCTCTGTGATGATTGCATTCAACTCCCAGAGTTGAACATTCCTTTTGATAGAGCAGTTTGCAAACACTCTTTTTGTAGAATCTGCAAGTGGAGATTTGGACCGCTTTGAGGCCTGTGGTAGTAAAGGAAAGAACTTCATATAAAAACTAGACGGTAGCACCCTCAGAAAATTCTTTGTGACGATGGAGTTTAACTCAGAGAGCTGAACATTCGTTATGATGGAGCAGTTTCCAAACACAGGTTTTGTAGAATCTGCAAGGGGATATTTGGACCTCTCTGAGGATTTCGTTGGAAACGGGATCAACTTCCCATAGCTGAACGGAAGCAAACTCAGAACATTCTTTGTGATGTTTGTATTCAACTCACAGAGTTGAACCTTCCTTTGATAGTTCAGGTTTGCATCACCCTTGTAGTAGAATCTGCAAGTGTATATGTTGACCACTATGTAGCCTTCGTTTGAAACGTCTATATCTTCACATCAAACCTAGACAGAAGCATTCTCAGAAAGTTTTCTGCGATGACTGCATTCAACTCACAGAGTTGAACAATCCTTTTGATGGAGCAGTTTTGAAACCCTCTTTCTTTGGAATCTGCAAGGGGATATGTGGACCTCTTTGAAGATTTCACTGGAAACGGGATCATCTTCACATAAGAACTAAACAGAAGCATTCTCGGAAACTACTTTGTGATGTTTGTATTCAGCTCCCAGAGTTGAACTTTCCTTTTGAAAGAGCAGCTATGAAACACTCTTTTTCGAGAATCTGCAAGTGGACGTTTGGAGGGCTTTGAGGCCTGTGGTGGAAAAGGAAATATCTTCACATAAAAACTAGATAGAAACATTCTCAGAAACTACTTTGTGAGGATGGCATTCAACTCATGGAGTTGAACAGTCCTATTGATAGAGCAGATTGGAATCACTCTTTTTGAAGAATCTGCAAATGGAGATTTGGACTGCTTTGAGGCCTACGGTAGTATAGGAAGGAACTTCATATAAAAGGCAAATGGAAGCATTCTCAGAATATTCTTTGTGATGATGGAGTTTCACTCACAGAGCTGAACATGCCTTTTGATGGAGCAGTTTCCAAATACACTTTTGGTAGAATCTGCAGGTGGATATTTGGAGCTCTTTGAGGATTTCGTTGGAAAAGGGAATAATTTCCCATAACTAAACACAAACACGCTGAGAAAGTTCTTCATGATGAATGCATTTAACTCGCAGAGATGAACCTGCCTTTGAGAGTTCAGGTTCGAAACACTCTTTCTGTAGAATCTGCAAGTGGATATTTGGACCACTGGCTGGCCTTCGTTCGAAACGGGTATATGTTCACGTAAAAACTAAAGAGAAGCATTCTCAGAAACTTCTGAGTGATGAATGCATTCAAGTCACACAGTTGAACCCTCCTTTTGATTGAGCAGTTTTGAAACTGTCTTTTTGTAGAATCTGTAAGTGGATGCGTGGACCTCTTTGAAGATTTCTTTGGAAACGGGAATATTTCCACAGAAAAACTAAACTGAAGCATTCTCAGAAACTGCTTTGTGATGTTTGTGTTCGAGCCGCAGAGTTTAACATTGCTTTTCATAGAGCAGTTTTGAAATATTCTTTTGGCAGAATCTGCAAGTGGACATTTGGAGCGCTTTCAGGCCTGTGGTGGAAAAGGCCTGAAAGCCTTTTCCTTTATCTTCACAAAAAGACGAGAGAGAAGCATTGTCAGAAACTTCTTTGTGATGATTGCATTCAACTCACAGAGTTGAAGATTCCTTTTGAAACAGCAGTTTCGAAACACTCTTTCTGTGGGATCCGCAAGGGGATATTTGGAACTCTTTGAAGATTTCGTTGGAAACGGGATAATCTTCACCTAAAAGCTAAACGGAAGCATTCTCAGAAACTTCTTTGGGATGTTTGCATTCACCTCACAGAGTTGAACTTTCCCTTTGATAGCGCAGCTTCGACACACTTTTTCTACAATGTGCAAGTGGCTATTTAGCGGGCTTGGAGGACTGTGTTGGAAAAGGAAATATCTTCTCCTAAAAACGACATAGAAGCACTCTCAGAAAATTCTTTGTGACGATGGAGTTTAACTCAGGGAGCTGAACATTCGTTATGATGGAGCAGTTTCCAAACACACGTTTTGTAGAATCTGCAAGGGGATATTTGGACCTCTCTGAGGATTTCGTTGGAAACGGGATCAACTTCCCATAACTGAACGGAAGCAAACTCAGAACATTCTTTGTGATGTTTGTATTCAACTCACAGAGTTGAACCTTCCTTTGATAGTTCAGGTTTGCAACACCCTTGTAGTAGAATCTGCAAGTGTATATTTTGACCACTTTGTAGCCTTCGTTTGAAACGTCTATATCTTCACATCAAACCTAGACAGAAGCATTCTCAGAAAGTTTTCTGTGATGACTGCATTCAACTCACAGAGTTGAACAATCCTTCTGATGGAGCAGTTTTGAAACCCTCTTTCTTTGGAATCTGCAAGGGGATATGTGGACCTCTTTGAAGATTTCACTGGAAACGGGATCATCTTCACATAAAAACTAAACAGAAGCATTCTCGGAAACTACTTTGTGATGTTTGTATTCAACTCCCAGAGTTGAACTTTCCTTTTGAAAGAGCAGCTATGAAACACTCTTTTTCGAGAATCTGCAAGTGGACGTTTGGAGGGCTTTGAGGCCTGTGGTGGAAAAGGAAATATCTTCACATAAAAACTAGATAGAAGCATTCTCAGAAACGACTTTGTGAGGATGGCATTCAACTCATGGAGTTGAACAATCCTATTGATAGAGCAGATTGGAATCACTCTTTTTGTAGAATCTGCAAATGGAGATTTGGACTGCTTTGAGGCCTACGGTCGTATAGGAAGGAACTTCATATAAAAGGCAAACGGAAGCATTCTCAGAATATTCTTTGTGATGATGGAGTTTCACTCACAGAGCTGAACATGCCTTTTGATGGAGCAGTTTCCAAATACACTTTTGGTAGAATCTGCAGGTGGATATTTGGAGCTCTCTGAGGATTTCGTTGGAAACGGGAATAATTTCCCATAACTAAACACAAACACTCTGAGAAAGTTCTTCATGATGAATGCATTTAACTCGCAGAGATGAACCTGCCTTTGAGAGTTCAGGTTCGAAACACTCTTTCTGTAGAATCTGCAAGTGGATATTTGGACCACTGGGTGGCCTTCGTTCGAAACGGGTATATGTTCACGTAAAAACTAAAGAGAAGCATTCTCAGAAACTTCTGAGTGATGATTGCATTCAAGTCACACAGTTGAACCCTCCTTTTGATGGAGCAGTTTTGAAACTGTCTTTTTGTAGAATCTGTAAGTGGATACGTGGACCTCTTTGAAGATTTCTTTGGAAACGGGAATATTTCCACAGAAAAACTAAACTGAAGCATTCTCAGAAACCTCTTTGTGATGTTTGTGTTCGAGCCACAGAGTTTAACATTGCTTTTCATAGAGCAGTTTTGAAATATTCTTTTCGCAGAATCTGCAAGTGGACACTTGGAGCGCTTTCAGGCCTGTGGTGGCAAAGGCCTGAAAGCCTTTTCCTTTATCTTCACAGAAAGACGAGAGAGAAGCATTGTCAGAAACTTCTTTGTGATGATTGCATTCAACTCACAGAGTTGAAGATTCCTTTTGAAACAGCAGTTTCGAAACACTCTTTCTGTGGGATCCGCAAGGGGATATTTGGACCTCTTTGAAGGTTTCGTTGGAAACGGGATAATCTTCACCTAAAAGCTAAACGGAAGCATTCTCAGAAACTTCTTTGGGATGTTTGCATTCACCTCACAGAGTTGAACTTTCCCTTTGATAGCGCAGCTTTGACACACTTTTTCTACAATGTGCAAGTGGCTATTTAGCGGGCTTGGAGGACTGTGTTGGAAAAGGAAATATCTTCTCCTAAAAACGACATAGAAGCATTCTCAGAAACTGCTCTGTGATGATTGCATTCAACTCCCAGAGTTGAACATTCCTTTTGATAGAGCAGTTTGCAAACACTCTTTTTGTAGAATCTGCAAGTGGGGATTTGGACCGCTTTGAGGCCTGTGGTAGTGAAGGAAAGAACTTCATATAAAAACCAGACGGTAGCACTCTCAGAAAATTCTTTGTGACGATGGAGTTTAACTCAGGGAGCTGAACATTCGTTATGATGGAGCAGTTTCCAAACAAACGTTTTGTAGAATCTGCGAGGGGATATTTGGACCTCTCTGAGGATTTCGTTGGAAACGGGATCAACTTCCCATAACTGAACGGAAGCAAACTCAGAACATTCTTTGTGATGTTTGTATTCAACTCACAGAGTTGAACCATCCTTTGATACTTCAGGTTTCCAACACCCTTGTAGTAGAATCTGCAAGTGTATATTTTGACCACGTTGTAGCCTTCGTTTGAAACGTCTATATCTTCACATCAAACCTAGACAGAAGCATTCTCAGAAAGTTTTCTGCGATGACTGCATTCAACTCACAGAGTTGAACAATCCTTCTGATGGAGCAGTTTTGAAACCCTCTTTCTTTGGAATCTGCAAGGGGATATGTGGACCTCTTTGAAGATTTCACTGGAAACGGGATCATCTTCACATAAAAACTAAACAGAAGCATTCTCGGAAACTACTTTGTGATGTTTGTATTCAACTCCCAGAGTTGAACTTTCCTTTTGAAAGAGCAGCTATGAAACACTCTTTTTCGAGAATCTGCAAGTGGACGTTTGGAAGGCTTTGAGGCCTGTGGTGGAAAAGGAAATATCTTCACATAAAAACTAGATAGAAGCATTCTCAGAAACTACTTCGTGAGGATGGCTTTCAACTCATGGAGTTGAACAATCCTATTGATACAGCAGATTGGAATCACTCTTTTTGTAGAATCTGCAAATGGAGATTTGGACTGCTTTGAGGCCTACGGTCGTATAGGAAGGAACTTCATATAAAAGGCAAACGGAAGCATTCTCAGAATATTCTTTGTGATGATGGAGTTTCACTCACAGAGCTGAACATGCCTTTTGATGGAGCAGTTTCCAAATACACTTTTGGTAGAATCTGCAGGTGGATATTTGGACCACTCTGAGGATTTCGTTGGAAACGGGAATAATTTCCCATAACTAAGCACAAACACTCTGAGAAAGTTCTTCATGATGAATGCATTTAACTCGCAGAGATGAACCTGCCTTTGAGAGTTCAGGTTCGAAACACTCTTTCTGTAGAATCTGCAAGTGGATATTTGGACCACTGGGTGGCCTTCGTTCGAAACGGGTATATGTTCACGTAAAAACTAAAGAGAAGCATTCTCAGAAACTTCTGAGTGATGATTGCATTCAAGTCACACAGTTGAACCCTCCTTTTGATGGAGCAGTTTTGAAACTGTCTTTTTGTAGAATCTGTAAGTGGATACGTGGACCTCTTTGAAGATTTCTTTGGAAACGGGAATATTTCCACAGAAAAACTAAACTGAAGCATTCTCAGAAACTGCTTTGTGATGTTGGTGTTCGAGCGACAGAGTTTAACGTTGCTTTTCATAGAGCAGTTTTGAAATATTCTTTTGGCAGAATCTGCAAGTGGACATTTGGAGCGCTTTCAGGCCTGTGGTGGAAAAGGCCTGAAAGCCTTTTCCTTTATCTTCACAGAAAGACGAGAGAGAAGCATTGTCAGAAACTTCTTTGTGATGATTGCATTCAACTCACAGAGTTGAAGATTCCTTTTGAAACAGCAGTTTCGAAACACTCTTTCTGTGGGATCCGCAAGGGGATATTTGGACCTCTTTGAAGGTTTCGTTGGAAACGGGATAATCTTCACCTAAAAGCTAAACGGAAGCATTCTCAGAAACTTCTTTGGGATGTTTGCATTCACCTCACAGAGTTGAACTTTCCCTTTGATAGCGCAGCTTTGACACACTTTTTCTACAATGTGCAAGTGGCTATTTAGCGGGCTTGGAGGACTGTGTTGGAAAAGGAAATATCTTCTCCTAAAAACGACATAGAAGCATTCTCAGAAACTGCTCTGTGATGATTGCATTCAACTCCCAGAGTTGAACATTCCTTTTGATAGAGCAGTTGGCAAACACTCTTTTTGTAGAATCTGCAAGTGGAGATTTGGACCGCTTTGAGGTCTGTGGTAGTGAAGGAAAGAGCTTCATATAAAAACCAGACGGTAGCACTCTCAGAAAATTCTTTGTGACGATGGAGTTTAACTCAGGGAGCTGAACATTCGTTATGATGGAGCAGTTTCCAAACACACGTTTTGTAGAATCTGCAAGGGGATATTTGGACCTCTCTGAGGATTTCGTTGGAAACGGGATCAACTTCCCATAACTGAACGGAAGCAAACTCAGAACATTCTTTGTGATGTTTGTATTCAACTCACAGAGTTGAACCTTCCTTTGATAGTTCAGGTTTGCAACACCCTTGTAGTAGAATCTGCAAGTGTATATTTTGACCACTTTGTAGCCTTCGTTTGAAACGTCTATACCTTCACATCAAACCTAGACAGAAGCATTCTCAGAAAGTTTTCTGCGATGACTGCATTCAACTCACAGAGTTGAACAATCCTTCTGATGGAGCAGTTTTGAAACCCTCTTTCTTTGGAATCTGCAAGGGGATATGTGGACCTCTTTGAAGATTTCACTGGAAACGGGATCATCTTCACATAAAAACTAAACAGAAAGCATTCTCGGAAACTACTTTGTGATGTTTGTATTCAACTCCCAGAGTTGAACTTTCCTTTTGAAAGAGCAGCTATGAAACACTCTTTTTCGAGAATCTGAAAGTGGACGTTTGGAGGGCTTTGAGGCCTGTGGTGGAAAAGGAAATATCTTCACATAAAAACTAGATAGAAGCATTCTCAGAAACTACTTTGTGAGGATGGCATTCAACTCATGGAGTTGAACAATCCTATTGATAGAGCAGATTGGAATCACTCTTTTTGTAGAATCTGCAAATGGAGATTTGGACTGCTTTGAGGCCTACGGTAGTACAGGAAGGAACTTCATATAAAAGGCAAACGGAAGCATTCTCAGAATATTCTTTGTGATGATGGAGTTTCACTCACAGAGCTGAACATGCCTTTTGATGGAGCAGTTTCCAACTACACTTTTGGTAGAAACTGCAGGTGGATATTTGGAGCTCTCTGAGGATTTCGTTGGAAACGGGAATAATTTCCCATAACTAAACACAAACACTCTGAGAAAGTTCTTCATGATGAATGCATTTAACTCGCAGAGATGAACCTGCCTTTGAGAGTTCAGGTTCGAAACACTCTTTCTGTAGAATCTGCAAGTGGATATTTGGACCACTGGGTGGCCTTCGTTCAAAACGGGTATATGTTCACGTAAAAACTAAAGAGAAGCATTCTCAGAAACTTCTGAGTGATGATTGCATTCAAGTCACACAGTTGAACCCTCCTTTTGATGGAGCAGTTTTGAAACTGTCTTTTTGTAGAATCTGTAAGTGGATACGTGGACCTCTTTGAAGATTTCTTTGGAAACGGGAATATTTCCACAGAAAAACTAAACTGAAGCATTCTCAGAAACTGCTTTGTGATGTTTGTGTTCGAGCCACAGAGTTTAACATTGCTTTTCATAGAGCAGTTTTGAAATATTCTTTTGGCAGAATCTACAAGTGGACATTTGGAGCGCTTTCAGGCCTGTGGTGGAAAAGGCCTGAAAGCCTTTTCCTTTATCTTCACAGAAAGACGAGAGAGAAGCATTGTCAGAAACTTCTTTGTGATGATTGCATTCAACTCACAGAGTTGAAGATTCCTTTTGAAACAGCAGTTTCGAAACACTCTTTCTGTGGGATCCGCAAGGGGATATTTGGACCTCTTTGAAGGTTTCGTTGGAAACGGGATAATCTTCACCTAAAAGCTAAACGGAAACATTCTCAGAAACTTCTTTGGGATGTTTGCATTCACCTCACAGAGTTGAACTTTCCCTTTGATAGCGCAGCTTTGACACACTTTTTCTACAATGTGCAAGTGGCTATTTAGCGGGCTTGGAGGACTGTGTTGGAAAAGGAAATATCTTCTCCTAAAAACGACATAGAAGCATTCTCAGAAACTGCTCTGTGATGATTGCATTCAACTCCCAGAGTTGAACATTCCTTTTGATAGAGCAGTTTGCAAACACTCTTTTTGTAGAATCTGCAAGTGGAGATTTGGACCGCTTTGAGGCCTGTGGTAGTGAAGGAAAGAACTTCATATAAAAACCAGACGGTAGCACTCTCAGAAAATTCTTTGTGACGATGGAGTTTAACTCAGGGAGCTGAACATTCGTTATGATGGAGCAGTTTCCAAACACACGTTTTGTAGAATCTGCGAGGGGATATTTGGACCTCTCTGAGGATTTCGTTGGAAACGGGATCAACTTCCCATAACTGAACGGAAGCAAACTCAGAACATTCTTTGTGATGTTTGTATTCAACTCACAGAGTTGAACCTTCCTTTGATAGTTCAGGTTTGCAACACCCTTGTAGTAGAATCTGCAAGTGTATATTTTGACCACTTTGTAGCCTTCGTTTGAAACGTCTATATCTTCACATCAAACCTAGAAAGAAGCATTCTCAGAAAGTTTTCTGCGATGACTGCATTCAACTCACAGAGTTGAACAATCCTTCTGATGGAGCAGTTTTGAAACCCTCTTTCTTTGGAATCTGCAAGGGGATATGTGGACCTCTTTGATGATTTCACTGGAAACGGGGTCATCTTCACATAAAAACTAAACAGAAGCATTCTCGGAAACTATTTTGTGATGTTTGTATTCAACTCCCAGAGTTGAACTTTCCTTTTGAAAGAGCAGCTATGAAACACTCTTTTTCGAGAATCTGCAAGTGGACGTTTGGAGGGCTTTGAGGCCTGTGGTGGAAAAGGAAATATCTTCACACAAAAACCAGATAGAAGCATTCTCAGAAACTACTTTGTGAGGATGGCATTCAACTCATGGAGTTGAACAATCCTATTGATAGAGCAGATTGGAATCACTCTTTTTGTAGAATCTGCAAATGGAGATTTGGACTGCTTTGAGGCCTACGGTAGTACAGGAAGGAACTTCATATAAAAGGCAAACGGAAGCATTCTCAGAATATTCTTTGTGATGATGGAGTTTCACTCACAGAGCTGAACATGCCTTTTGATGGAGCAGTTTCCAAATACACTTTTGGTAGAATCTGCAGGTGGATATTTGGAGCTCTCTGAGGATTTCGTTGGAAACGGGAATAATTTCCCATAACTAAACACAAACACTCTGAGAAAGTTCTTCATGATGAATGCATTTAACTCGCAGAGATGAACCTGCCTTTGAGAGTTCAGGTTCGAAACACTCTTTCTGTAGAATCTGCAAGTGGATATTTGGACCACTGGCTGGCCTTCGTTCGAAACGGGTATATGTTCACGTAAAAACTAAAGAGAAGCATTCTCAGAAACTTCTGAGTGATGATTGCATTCAAGTCACACAGTTGAACCCTCCTTTTGATGGAGCAGTTTTGAAACTGTCTTTTTGTAGAATCTGTAAGTGGATACGTGGACCTCTTTGAAGATTTCTTTGGAAACGGGAATATTTCCACAGAAAAACTAAACTGAAGCATTCTCAGAAACCGCTTTGTGATGTTTGTGTTCGAGCCACAGAGTTTAACTTTGCTTTTCATAGAGCAGTTTTGAAATATTCTTTTCGCAGAATCTGCAAGTGGACATTTGGAGCGCTTTCAGGCCTGTGGTGGAAAAGGCCTGAAAGCCTTTTCCTTTATCTTCACAGAAAGACGAGAGAGAAGCATTGTCAGAAACTTCTTTGTGATGATTGCATTCAACTCACAGAGTTGAAGATTCCTTTTGAAACAGCAGTTTCGAAACACTCTTTCTGTGGGATCCGCAAGGGGATATTTGGACCTCTTTGAAGGTTTCGTTGGAAACGGGATAATCTTCACCTAAAAGCTAAACGGAAGCATTCTCAGAAACTTCTTTGGGATGTTTGCATTCACCTCACAGAGTTGAACTTTCCCTTTGATAGCGCAGCTTCGACACACTTTTTCTACAATGTGCAAGTGGCTATTTAGCGGGCTTGGAGGACTGTGTTGGAAAAGGAAATATCTTCTCCTAAAAACGACATAGAAGCATTCTCAGAAACTGCTCTGTGATGATTGCATTCAACTCCCAGAGTTGAACATTCCTTTTGATAGAGCAGTTTGCAAACACTCTTTTTGTAGAATCTGCAAGTGGAGATTTGGACCGCTTTGAGGCCTGTGGTAGTGAAGGAAAGAACTTCATATAAAAACCAGACGGTAGCACTCTCAGAAAATTCTTTGTGACGATGGAGTTTAACTCAGGGAGCTGAACATTCGTTATGATGGAGCAGTTTCCAAACACACGTTTTGTAGAATCTGCAAGGGGATATTTGGACCTCTCTGAGGATTTCGTTGGAAACGGGATCAACTTCCCATAACTGAACGGAAGCAAACTCAGAACATTCTTTGTGATGTTTGTATTCAACTCACAGAGTTGAACCTTCCTTTGATAGTTCAGGTTTGCAACACCCTTGTAGTAGAATCTGCAAGTGTATATTTTGACCACTTTGTAGCCTTCGTTTGAAACGTCTATATCTTCACATCAAACCTAGAAAGAAGCATTCTCAGAAAGTTTTCTGCGATGACTGCATTCAACTCACAGAGTTGAACAATCCTTTTGATGGAGCAGTTTTGAAACCCTCTTTCTTTGGAATCTGCAAGGGGATATGTGGACCTCTTTGAAGATTTCACTGGAAACGGGATCATCTTCACATAAAAACTAAACAGAAGCATTCTCGGAAACTATTTTGTGATGTTTGTATTCAACTCCCAGAGTTGAACTTTCCTTTTGAAAGAGCAGCTATGAAACACTCTTTTTCGAGAATCTGCAAGTGGACGTTTGGAGGGCTTTGAGGCCTGTGGTGGAAAAGGAAATATCTTCACACAAAAACCAGATAGAAGCATTCTCAGAAACTACTTTGTGAGGATGGCATTCAACTCATGGAGTTGAACAATCCTATTGATAGAGCAGATTGGAATCACTCTTTTTGTAGAATCTGCAAATGGAGATTTGGACTGCTTTGAGGCCTACAGTAGTACAGGAAGGAACTTCATATAAAAGGCAAACGGAAGCATTCTCAGAATATTCTTTGTGATGATGGAGTTTCACTCACAGAGCTGAACATGCCTTTTGATGGAGCAGTTTCCAAATACACTTTTGGTAGAATCTGCAGGTGGATATTTGGAGCTCTCTGAGGATTTCGTTGGAAACGGGAATAATTTCCCATAACTAAACACAAACACTCTGAGAAAGTTCTTCATGATGAATGCATTTAACTCACAGAGATGAACCTGCCTTTGAGAGTTCAGGTTCGAAACACTCTTTCTGTAGAATCTGCAAGTGGATATTTGGACCACTGGGTGGCCTTCGTTCGAAACGGGTATATGTTCACGTAAAAACTAAAGAGAAGCATTCTCAGAAACTTCTGAGTGATGATTGCATTCAAGTCACACAGTTGAACCCTCCTTTTGATGGAGCAGTTTTGAAACTGTCTTTTTGTAGAATCTGTAAGTGGATACGTGGACCTCTTTGAAGATTTCTTTGGAAACGGGAATATTTCCACAGAAAAACTAAACTGAAGCATTCTCAGAAACTGCTTTGTGATGTTTGTGTTCGAGCCACAGAGTTTAACATTGCTTTTCATAGAGCAGTTTTGAAATATTCTTTTGGCAGAATCTGCAAGTGGACATTTGGAGCGCTTTCAGGCCTGTGGTGGAAAAGGCCTGAAAGCCTTTTCCTTTATCTTCACAGAAAGACGAGAGAGAAGCATTGTCAGAAACTTCTTTGTGATGATTGCATTCAACTCACAGAGTTGAAGATTCCTTTTGAAACAGCAGTTTCGAAACACTCTTTCTGTGGGATCCGCAAGGGGATATTTGGACCTCTTTGAAGGTTTCGTTGGAAACGGGATAATCTTCACCTAAAAGCTAAACGGAAGCATTCTCAGAAACTTCTTTGGGATGTTTGCATTCACCTCACAGAGTTGAACTTTCCCTTTGATAGCGCAGCTTTGACACACTGTTTCTACAATGTGCAAGTGGCTATTTAGCGGGCTTGGAGGACTGTGTTGGAAAAGGAAATATCTTCTCCTAAAAACGACATAGAAGCATTCTCAGAAACTGCTCTGTGATGATTGCATTCAACTCCCAGAGTTGAACATTCCTTTTGATAGAGCAGTTTGCAAACACTCTTTTTGTAGAATCTGCAAGTGGAGATTTGGACCGCTTTGAGGTCTGTGGTAGTGAAGGAAAGAGCTTCATATAAAAACCAGACGGTAGCACTCTCAGTAAAATTCTTTGTGACGATAGAGTTTAACTCAGAGAGCTGAACATTCGTTATGATGGAGCAGTTTCCAAACACACATTTTGTAGAATCTGCAAAGGGATATTTGGACCTCTCTGAGGATTTCGTTGGAAATGGGATCAACTTCCCATAACTGAACGGAAGCAAACTCAGAACATTCTTTGTGATGTTTGTATTCAACTCACAGAGTTGAACCTTCCTTTGATAGTTCAGGTTTGCAACACCCTTGTAGTAGAATCTGCAAGTGTATATTTTGACCACTTTGTAGCCTTCGTTTGAAACATCTATATCTTCACATCAAACCTAGACAGAAGCATTCTCAGAAAGTTTTCTGCGATGACTGCATTCAACTCACAGAGTTGAACAATCCTTCTGATGGAGCAGTTTTGAAACCCTCTTTCTTTGGAATCTGCAAGGGGATATGTGGACCTCTTTGAAGATTTCACTGGAAACGGGATCATCTTCACATAAAAACTAAACAGAAGCATTCTCGGAAACTACTTTGTGATGTTTGTATTCAACTCCCAGAGTTGAACTTTCCTTTTGAAAGAGCAGCTATAAAACACTCTTTTTCGAGAATCTGCAAGTGGACGTTTGGAGGGCTTTGAGGCCTGTGGTGGAAAAGGAAATATCTTCACATAAAAACTAGATAGAAGCATTCTCAGAAACGACTTTGTGAGGATGGCATTCAACTCATGGAGTTGAACAATCCTATTGATAGAGCAGATTGGAATCACTCTTTTTGTAGAATCTGCAAATGGAGATTTGGACTGCTTTGAGGCCTACGGTCGTATAGGAAGGAACTTCAGATAAAAGGCAAACGGAAGCATTCTCAGAATATTCTTTGTGATGATGGAGTTTCACTCACAGAGCTGAACATGCCTTTTGATGGAGCAGTTTCCAAATACACTTTTGGTAGAATCTGCAGGTGGATATTTGGACCACTCTGAGGATTTCGTTGGAAACGGGAATAATTTCCCATAACTAAGCACAAACACTCTGAGAAAGTTCTTCATGATGAATGCATTTAACTCGCAGAGATGAACCTGCCTTTGAGAGTTCAGGTTCGAAACACTCTTTCTGTAGAATCTGCAAGTGGATATTTGGACCACTGGGTGGCCTTCGTTCGAAACGGGTATATGTTCACGTAAAAACTAAAGAGAAGCATTCTCAGAAACTTCTGAGTGATGATTGCATTCAAGTCACACAGTTGAACACTCCTTTTGATGGAGCAGTTTTGAAACTGTCTTTTTGTAGAATCTGTAAGTGGATACGTGGACCTCTTTGAAGATTTCTTTGGAAACGGGAATATTTCCACAGAAAAACTAAACTGAAACATTCTCAGAAACAGCTTTGTGATGTTTGTGTTCCAGCCACAGAGTTTAACATTGCTTTTCATAGAGCAGTTTTGAAATATTCTTTTCGCAGAATCTGCAAGTGGACATTTGGAGCGCTTTCAGGCCTGTGGTGGCAAAGGCCTGAAAGCCTTTTCCTTTATCTTCACAGAAAGACGAGAGAGAAGCATTGTCAGAAACTTCTTTGTGATGATTGCATTCAACTCACAGAGTTGAAGATTCCTTTTGAAACAGCTGTTTCGAAACACTCTTTCTGTGGGATCCGCAAGGGGATATTTGGACCTCTTTGAAGGTTTCGTTGGAAACGGGATAATCTTCACCTAAAAGCTAAACGGAAGCATTCTCAGAAACTTCTTTGGGATGTTTGCATTCACCTCACAGAGTTGAACTTTCCCTTTGATAGCGCAGCTTTGACACACTTTTTCTACAATGTGCAAGTGGCTATTTAGCGGGCTTGGAGGACTGTGTTGGAAAAGGAAATATCTTCTCCTAAAAACGACATAGAAGCATTCTCAGAAACTGCTCTGTGATGATTGCATTCAACTCCCAGAGTTGAACATTCCTTTTGATAGAGCAGTTTGCAAACACTCTTTTTGTAGAATCTGCAAGTGGAGATTTGGACCGCTTTGAGGCCTGTGGTAGTGAAGGAAAGAACTTCATATAAAAACCAGACGGTAGCACTCTCAGAAAATTCTTTGTGACGATGGAGTTTAACTCAGGGAGCTGAACATTCGTTATGATGGAGCAGTTTCCAAACACACGTTTTGTAGAATCTGCAAGGGGATATTTGGACCTCTCTGAGGATTTCGTTGGAAACGGGATCAACTTCCCATAACTGAACGGAAGCAAACTCAGAACATTCTTTGTGATGTTTGTATTCAACTCACAGAGTTGAACCTTCCTTTGATAGTTCAGGTTTGCAACACCCTTGTAGTAGAATCTGCAAGTGTATATTTTGACCACTTTGTAGCCTTCATTTGAAACGTCTATATCTTCACATCAAACCTAGACAGAAGCATTCTCAGAAAGTTTTCTGCGATGACTGCATTCAACTCACAGAGTTGAACAATCCTTCTGATGGAGCAGTTTTGAAACCCTCTTTCTTTGGAATCTGCAAGGGGATATGTGGACCTCTTTGAAGATTTCACTGGAAACGGGATCATCTTCACATAAAAACTAAACAGAAGCATTCTCGGAAACTACTTTGTGATGTTTGTATTCAACTCCCAGAGTTGAACTTTCCTTTTGAAAGAGCAGCTATGAAACACTCTTTTTCGAGAATCTGCAAGTGGACGTTTGGAGGGCTTTGAGGCCTGTGGTGGAAATGGAAATATCTTCACATAAAAACTAGATAGAAGCATTCTCAGAAACGACTTTGTGAGGATGGCATTCAACTCATGGAGTTGAACAATCCTATTGATAGAGCAGATTGGAATCACTCTTTTTGTAGAATCTGCAAATGGAGATTTGCACTGCTTTGAGGCCTACGGTCGTATAGGAAGGAACTTCATATAAAAGGCAAACGGAAGCATTCTCAGAATATTCTTTGTGATGATGGAGTTTCACTCACAGAGCTGAACATGCCTGTTGATGGAGCAGTTTCCAAATACACTTTTGGTAGAATCTGCAGGTGGATATTTGGAGCTCTCTGAGGATTTCGTTGGAAACGGGAATAATTTCCCATAACTAAACACAAACACTCTGAGAAAGTTCTTCATGATGAATGCATTTAACTCGCAGAGATGAACCTGCCTTTGAGAGTTCAGGTTCGAAACACTCTTTCTGTAGAATCTGCAAGTGGATATTTGGACCACTGGGTGGCCTTCGTTCGAAACGGGTATATGTTCACGTAAAAACTAAAGAGAAGCATTCTCAGAAACTTCTGAGTGATGATTGCATTCAAGTCACACAGTTGAACCCTCCTTTTGATGGAGCAGTTTTGAAACTGTCTTTTTGTAGAATCTGTAAGTGGATACGTGGACCTCTTTGAAGATTTCTTTGGAAACGGGAATATTTCCACAGAAAAACTAAACTGAAGCATTCTCAGAAACTGCTTTGTGATGTTTGTGTTCGAGCCACAGAGTTTAACATTGCTTTTCATAGAGCAGTTTTGCAATATTCTTTTCACAGAATCTGCAAGTGGACATTTGGAGCGCTTTCAGGCCTGTGGTGGGAAAAGGCCTGAAAGCCTTTTCCTTTATCTTCACAGAAAGACGAGAGAGAAGCATTGTCAGAAACTTCTTTGTGATGATTGCATTCAACTCACAGAGTTGATGATTCCTTTTGAAACAGCAGTTTCGAAACACTCTTTCTGTGGGATCCGCGAGGGTATATTTGGACCTCTTTGAAGATTTCGTTGGAAACGGGATAATCTTCACCTAAAAGCTAAACGGAAGCATTCTCAGAAACTTCTTTGGGATGTTTGCATTCACCTCACAGAGTTGAACTTTCCCTTTGATAGCGCAGCTTCGACACACTTTTTCTACAATGTGCAAGTGGATATTTAGCGGGCTTGGAGGACTGTGTTGGAAAAGGAAATATCTTCTCCTAAAAACGACATAGAAGCATTCTCAGAAACTGCTCTGTGATGATTGCATTCAACTCCCAGAGTTGAACATTCCTTTTGATAGAGCAGTTTGCAGACACTCTTTTTGTAGAATCTGCAAGTGGAGATTTGGACCGCTTTGAGGCCTGTGGTAGTAAAGGAAAGAACTTGATATAAAAACTAGAAGGTAGCACTCTCAGAAAATTCTTTGTGACGATGGAGTTTAATTCAGAGAGCTGAACATTCGTTATGATGGAGCTGTTTCCAAACACACGTTTTGTAGAATCTGCAAGGGGATATTTGGACCTCTCTGAGGATTTCGTTGGAAACGGGATCAACTTCCCATAACTGAACGGAAGCAAACTCAGAACATTCTTTGCGATGTTTGTATTCAACTCACAGAGTTGAACCTTCCTTTGATAGTTAAGGTTTGCAACACCCTTGTAGTAGAATCTGCAAGTGTATATTTTGACCACTTTGTAGCCTTCGTTTGAAACGTCTATATCTTCACATCAAACCTAGACAGAAGCATTCTCAGAAAGTTTTCTGCGATGACTGCATTCAACTCACGGAGTTGAACAATCCTTTTGATGGAGCAGTTTTGAAACCCTCTTTCTTTGGAATCTGCAAGGGGATATGTGGACCTCTTTGAAGATTTCACTGGAAACGGGATCATCTTCACATAAGAACTAAACAGAAGCATTCTCGGAAACTACTTTGTGATGTTTGTATTCAACTCCCAGAGTTGAACTTTCCTTTTGAAAGAGCAGCTATGAAACACTCTTTTTCGAGAATCTGCAAGTGGACGTTTGGAGGGCTTTGAGGCCTGTGGTGGAAAAGGAAATATCTTCACATAAAAACTAGAATAGAAGCATTCTCAGAAACGACTTTGTGAGGATGGCATTCAACTCATGGAGTTGAACAATCCTATTGATAGAGCAGATTGGAATCACTCTTTTTGTAGAATCTGCAAATGGAGATTTGGACTGCTTTGAGGCCTCCGGTCGTATAGGAAGGAACTTCATATAAAAGGCAAACGGAAGCATTCTCAGAATATTCTTTGTGATGATGGAGTTTCACTCACAGAGCTGAACATGCCTTTTGAGATGGGAGCAGTTTCCAAATACACTTTTGGTAGAATCTGCAGGTGGATATTTGGAGCTCTCTGAGGATTTCGTTGGAAACGGGAATAATTTCCCATAACTAAACACAAACACTCTGAGAAAGTTCTTCATGATGAATGCATTTAACTCGCAGAGATGAACCTGCCTTTGAGAGTTCAGGTTCGAAACACTCTTTCTGTAGAATCTGCAAGTGGATATTTGGACCACTGGCTGGCCTTCGTTCGAAACGGGTATATGTTCACGTAAAAACTAAAGAGAAGCATTCTCAGAAACTTCTGAGTGATGATTGCATTCAAGTCACACGGTTGAACCCTCCTTTTGATGGAGCAGTTTTGAAACTGTCTTTTTGTAGAATCTGTAAGTGGATACGTGGACCTCTTTGAAGATTTCTTTGGAAACGGGAATATTTCCACAGAAAAACTAAACTGAAGCATTCTCAGAAACCGCTTTGTGATGTTTGTGTTCGAGCCACAGAGTTTAACTTTGCTTTTCATAGAGCAGTTTTGAAATATTCTTTTCGCAGAATCTGCAAGTGGACATTTGGAGCGCTTTCAGGCCTGTGGTGGAAAAGGCCTGAAAGCCTTTTCCTTTATCTTCACAGAAAGACGAGAGAGAAGCATTGTCAGAAACTTCTTTGTGATGATTGCATTCAACTCACAGAGTTGAAGATTCCTTTTGAAACAGCAGTTTCGAAACACTCTTTCTGTGGGATCCGCAAGGGGATATTTGGACCTCTTTGAAGGTTTCGTTGGAAACGGGATAATCTTCACCTAAAAGCTAAACGGAAGCATTCTCAGAAACTTCTTTGGGATGTTTGCATTCACCTCACAGAGTTGAACTTTCCCTTTGATAGCGCAGCTTCGACACACTTTTTCTACAATGTGCAAGTGGCTATTTAGCGGGCTTGGAGGACTGTGTTGGAAAAGGAAATATCTTCTCCTAAAAACGACATAGAAGCCTTCTCAGAAACTGCTCTGTGATGATTGCATTCAACTCCCAGAGTTGAACATTCCTTTTGATAGAGCAGTTTGCAGACACTCTTTTTGTAGAATCTGCAAGTGGAGATTTGGACCGCTTTGAGGCCTGTGGTAGTAAAGGAAAGAACTTCATATAAAAACTAGACGGTAGCACTCTCAGAAAATTCTTTGTGACGATGGAGTTTAACTCAGGGAGCTGAACATTCGTTATGATGGAGCAGTTTCCAAACACACGTTTTGTAGAATCTGCAAGGGGATATTTGGACCTCTCTGAGGATTTCGTTGGAAACGGGATCAACTTCCCATAACTGAACGGAAGCAAACTCAGAACATTCTTTGTGATGTTTGTATTCAACTCACAGAGTTGAACCTTCCTTTGATAGTTCAGGTTTGCAACACCCTTGTAGTAGAATCTGCAAGTGTATATTTTGACCACTTTGTAGCCTTCGTTTGAAACGTCTATATCTTCACATCAAACCTAGACAGAAGCATTCTCAGAAAGTTTTCTGCGATGACTGCATTCAACTCACAGGAGTTGAACAATCCTTCTGATGGAGCAGTTTTTAAACCCTCTTTCTTTGGAATCTGCAAGGGGATATGTGGACCTCTTTGAAGATTTCACTGGAAACGGGATCATCTTCACATAAAAACTAAACAGAAGCATTCTCGGAAACTACTTTGTGATGTTTGTATTCAACTCCCAGAGTTGAACTTTCCTTTTGAAAGAGCAGCTATGAAACACTCTTTTTCGAGAATCTGCAAGTGGACGTTTGGAGGGCTTTGAGGCCTGTGGTGGAAAAGGAAATATCTTCACATAAAAACTAGATAGAAGCATTCTCAGAAACTACTTTGTGAGGATGGCATTCAACTCATGGAGTTGAACAATCCTATTGATAGAGCAGATTGGAATCACTCTTTTTATAGAATCTGCAAATGGAGATTTGGACTGCTTTGAGGCCTACGGTAGTACAGGAAGGAACTTCATATAAAAGGCAAACGGAAGCATTCTCAGAATATTCTTTGTGATGATGGAGTTTCACTCACAGAGCTGAACATGCCTTTTGATGGAGCAGTTTCCAAATACACTTTTGGTAGAATCTGCAGGTGGATATTTGGAGCTCTCTGAGGATTTCGTTGGAAACGGGAATAATTTCCCATAACTAAACACAAACACTCTGAGAAAGTTCTTCATGATGAATGCATTTAACTCGCAGAGATGAACCTGCCTTTGAGAGTTCAGGTTCGAAACACTCTTTCTGTAGAATCTGCAAGTGGATATTTGGACCACTGGGTGGCCTTCGTTCGAAACGGGTATATGTTCACGTAAAAACTAAAGAGAAGCATTCTCAGAAACTTCTGAGTGATGATTGCATTCAAGTCACACAGTTGAACCCTCCTTTTGATGGAGCAGTTTTGAAACTGTCTTTTTGTAGAATCTGTAAGTGGATGCGTGGACCTCTTTGAAGATTTCTTTGGAAACGGGAATATTTCCACAGAAAAACTAAACTGAAGCATTCTCAGAAACTGCTTTGTGATGTTTGTGTTCGAGCCACAGAGTTTAACATTGCTTTTCATAGAGCAGTTTTGAAATATTCTTTTCGCAGAATCTGCAAGTGGACATTTGGAGCGCTTTCAGGCCTGTGGTGGCAAAGGCCTGAAAGCCTTTTCCTTTATCTTCACAGAAAGACGAGAGAGAAGCATTGTCAGAAACTTCTTTGTGATGATTGCATTCAACTCACAGAGTTGAAGATTCCTTTTGAAACAGCAGTTTCGAAACACTCTTTCTGTGGGATCCGCAAGGGGATATTTGGACCTCTTTGAAGGTTTCGTTGGAAACGGGATAATCTTCACCTAAAAGCTAAACGGAAGCATTCTCAGAAACTTCTTTGGGATGTTTGCATTCACCTCACAGAGTTGAACTTTCCCTTTGATAGCGCAGCTTTGACACACTTTTTCTACAATGTGCAAGTGGCTATTTAGCGGGCTTGGAGGACTGTGTTGGAAAAGGAAATATCTTCTCCTAAAAACGACATAGAAGCATTCTCAGAAACTGCTCTGTGATGATTGCATTCAACTCCCAGAGTTGAACATTCCTTTTGATAGAGCAGTTTGCAAACACTCTTTTTGTAGAATCTGCAAGTGGAGATTTGGACCGCTTTGAGGCCTGTGGTAGTGAAGGAAAGAACTTCATATAAAAACCAGACGGTAGCACTCTCAGAAAATTCTTTGTGACGATGTAGTTTAACTCAGGGAGCTGAACATTCGTTATGATGGAGCAGTTTCCAAACACACGTTTTGTAGAATCTGCGAGGGGATATTTGGACCTCTCTGAGGATTTCGTTGGAAACGGGATCAACTTCCCATAACTGAACGGAAGCAAACTCAGAACATTCTTTGTGATGTTTGTATTCAACTCACAGAGTTGAACCTTCCTTTGATAGTTCAGGTTTGCAACACCCTTGTAGTAGAATCTGCAAGTGTATATTTTGACCACTTTGTAGCCTTCGTTTGAAACGTCTATATCTTCACATCAAACCTAGAAAGAAGCATTCTCAGAAAGTTTTCTGCGATGACTGCATTCAACTCACAGAGTTGAACAATCCTTTTGATGGAGCAGTTTTGAAACCCTCTTTCTTTGGAATCTGCAAGGGGATATGTGGACCTCTTTGAAGATTTCACTGGAAACGGGATCATCTTCACATAAAAACTAAACAGAAGCATTCTCGGAAACTACTTTGTGATGTTTGTATTCAACTCCCAGAGTTGAACTTTCCTTTTGAAAGAGCAGCTATGAAACACTCTTTTTCGAGAATCTGCAAGTGGACGTTTGGAGGGCTTTGAGGCCTGTGGTGGAAAAGGAAATATCTTCACATAAAAACTAGATAGAAGCATTCTCAGAAACTACTTTGTGAGGATGGCATTCAACTCATGGAGTTGAACAATCCTATTGATAGAGCAGATTGGAATCACTCTTTTTGTAGAATCTGCAAATGGAGATTTGGACTCCTTTGAGGCCTACGGTCGTATAGGAAGGAACTTCATATAAAAGGTAAACGGAAGCATTCTCAGAATATTCGTTGTGATGATGGAGTTTCACTCACAGAGCTGAACATGCCTTTTGATGGAGCAGTTTCCAAATACACTTTTGGTAGAATCTGCAGGTGGATATTTGGAGCTCTCTGAGGATTTCGTTGGAAACGGGAATAATTTCCCATAACTAAACACAAACACTCTGAGAAAGTTCTTCATGATGAATGCATTTAACTCGCAGAGATGAACCTGCCTTTGAGAGTTCAGGTTCGAAACACTCTTTCTGTAGAATCTGCAAGTGGATATTTGGACCACTGGGTGGCCTTCGTTCG
Organism: Homo sapiens; assembly: GCF_000001405.40. Taxonomy (NCBI): domain Eukaryota; kingdom Metazoa; phylum Chordata; class Mammalia; order Primates; family Hominidae; genus Homo; species Homo sapiens. The sequence continues at coordinate 58,679,785 of NC_000023.11, forward strand.
AAACGGGTATATGTTCACGTAAAAACTAAAGAGAAGCATTCTCAGAAACTTCTGAGTGATGATTGCATTCAAGTCACACAGTTGAACCCTCCTTTTGATGGAGCAGTTTTGAAACTGTCTTTTTGTAGAATCTGTAAGTGGATACGTGGACCTCTTTGAAGATTTCTTTGGAAACGGGAATATTTCCACAGAAAAACTAAACTGAAGCATTCTCAGAAACCGCTTTGTGATGTTTGTGTTCGAGCCACAGAGTTTAACATTGCTTTTCATAGAGCAGTTTTGAAATATTCTTTTGGCAGAATCTGCAAGTGGACATTTGGAGCGCTTTCAGGCCTGTGGTGGAAAAGGCCTGAAAGCCTTTTCCTTTATCTTCACAGAAAGACGAGAGAGAAGCATTGTCAGAAACTTCTTTGTGATGATTGCATTCAACTCACAGAGTTGAAGATTCCTTTTGAAACAGCAGTTTCGAAACACTCTTTCTGTGGGATCCGCAAGGGGATATTTGGACCTCTTTGAAGGTTTCGTTGGAAACGGGATAATCTTCACCTAAAAGCTAAACGGAAGCATTCTCAGAAACTTCTTTGGGATGTTTGCATTCACCTCACAGAGTTGAACTTTCCCTTTGATAGCGCAGCTTTGACACACGTTTTCTACAATGTGCAAGTGGCTATTTAGCGGGCTTGGAGGACTGTGTTGGAAAAGGAAATATCTTCTCCTAAAAACGACATAGAAGCATTCTCAGAAACTGCTCTGTGATGATTGCATTCAACTCCCAGAGTTGAACATTCCTTTTGATAGAGCAGTTTGCAAACACTCTTTTTGTAGAATCTGCAAGTGGAGATTTGGACCGCTTTGAGGCCTGTGGTAGTGAAGGAAAGAGCTTCATATAAAAACCAGACGGTAGCACTCTCAGAAAATTCTTTGTGACGATGGAGTTTAACTCAGGGAGCTGAACATTCGTTATGATGGAGCAGTTTCCAAACACACGTTTTGTAGAATCTGCAAGGGGATATTTGGACCTCTCTGAGGATTTCGTTGGAAACGGGATCAACTTCCCATAACTGAACGGAAGCAAACTCAGAACATTCTTTGTGATGTTTGTATTCAACTCACAGAGTTGAACCTTCCTTTGATAGTTCAGGTTTGCAACACCCTTGTAGTAGAATCTGCAAGTGTATATTTTGACCACTTTGTAGCCTTCGTTTGAAACGTCTATATCTTCACATCAAACCTAGACAGAAGCATTCTCAGAAAGTTTTCTGCGATGACTGCATTCAACTCACAGAGTTGAACAATCCTTCTGATGGAGCAGTTTTGAAACCCTCTTTCTTTGGAATCTGCAAGGGGATATGTGGACCTCTTTGAAGATTTCACTGGAAACGGGATCATCTTCACATAAAAACTAAACAGAAGCATTCTCGGAAACTACTTTGTGATGTTTGTATTCAACTCCCAGAGTTGAACTTTCCTTTTGAAAGAGCAGCTATGAAACACTCTTTTTCGAGAATCTGCAAGTGGACGTTTGGAGGGCTTTGAGGCCTGTGGTGGAAAAGGAAATATCTTCACATAAAAACTAGATAGAAGCTTTCTCAGAAACGACTTTGTGAGGATGGCATTCAACTCATGGAGTTGAACAATCCTATTGGTAGAGCAGATTGGAATCACTCTTTTTGTAGAATCTGCAAATGGAGATTTGGACTGCTTTGAGGCCTACGGTAGTATAGGAAGGAACTTCATATAAAAGGCAAACGGAAGCATTCTCAGAATATTCTTTGTGATGATGGAGTTTCACTCACAGAGCTGAACATGCCTTTTGATGGAGCAGTTTCCAAATACACTTTTGGTAGAATCTGCAGGTGGATATTTGGAGCTCTCTGAGGATTTCGTTGGAAACGGGAATAATTTCCCATAACTAAACACAAACACTCTGAGAAAGTTCTTCATGATGAATGCATTTAACTCGCAGAGATGAACCTGCCTTTGAGAGTTCAGGTTCGAAACACTCTTTCTGTAGAATCTGCAAGTGGATATTTGGACCACTGGGTGGCCTTCGTTCGAAACGGGTATATGTTCATGTAAAAACTAAAGAGAAGCATTCTCAGAAACTTCTGAGTGATGATTGCATTCAAGTCACACAGTTGAACCCTCCTTTTGATGGAGCAGTTTTGAAACTGTCTTTTTGTAGAATCTGTAAGTGGATACGTGGACCTCTTTGAAGATTTCTTTGGAAACGGGAATATTTCCACAGAAAAACTAAACTGAAGCATTCTCAGAAACCGCTTTGTGATGTTTGTGTTCGAGCCACAGAGTTTAACATTGCTTTTCATAGAGCAGTTTTGAAATATTCTTTTGGCAGAATCTGCAAGTGGACATTTGGAGCGCTTTCAGGCCTGTGGTGGAAAAGGCCTGAAAGCCTTTTCCTTTATCTTCACAGAAAGACGAGAGAGAAGCATTGTCAGAAACTTCTTTGTGATGATTGCATTCAACTCACAGAGTTGAAGATTCCTTTTGAAACAGCAGTTTCGAAACACTCTTTCTGTGGGATCCGCAAGGGGATATTTGGACCTCTTTGAAGGTTTCGTTGGAAACGGGATAATCTTCACCTAAAAGCTAAACGGAAGCATTCTCAGAAACTTCTTTGGGATGTTTGCATTCACCTCACAGAGTTGAACTTTCCCTTTGATAGCGCAGCTTTGACACACTTTTTCTACAATGTGCAAGTGGCTATTTAGCGGGCTTGGAGGACTGTGTTGGAAAAGGAAATATCTTCTCCTAAAAACGACATAGAAGCATTCTCAGAAACTGCTCTGTGATGATTGCATTCAACTCCCAGAGTTGAACATTCCTTTTGATAGAGCAGTTTGCAAACACTCTTTTTGTAGAATCTGCAAGTGGAGATTTGGACCGCTTTGAGGCCTGTGGTAGTGAAGGAAAGAACTTCATATAAAAACCAGACGGTAGCACTCTCAGAAAATTCTTTGTGACGATGGAGTTTAACTCAGGGAGCTGAACATTCGTTATGATGGAGCAGTTTCCAAACACACGTTTTGTAGAATCTGCGAGGGGATATTTGGACCTCTCTGAGGATTTCGTTGGAAACGGGATCAACTTCCCATAACTGAACGGAAGCAAACTCAGAACATTCTTTGTGATGTTTGTATTCAATTCACAGAGTTGAACCTTCCTTTGATAGTTCAGGTTTGCAACACCCTTGTAGTAGAATCTGCAAGTGTATATTTTGACCACTTTGTAGCCTTCGTTTGAAACGTCTATATCTTCACATCAAACCTAGACAGAAGCATTCTCAGAAAGTTTTCTGCGATGAGTGCATTCAACTCACAGAGTTGAACAATCCTTTTGATGGAGCAGTTTTGAAACCCTCTTTCTTTGGAATCTGCAAGAGGATATGTGGACCTCTTTGAAGATTTCACTGGAAACGGGATCATCTTCACATAAGAACTAAACAGAAGCATTCTCGGAAACTACTTTGTGATGTTTGTATTCAACTCCCAGAGTTGAACTTTCCTTTTGAAAGAGCAGCTATGAAACAGTCTTTTTCGAGAATGTGCAAGTGGACGTTTGGAGGGCTTTGAGGCCTGTGGTGGAAAAGGAAATATCTTCACATAAAAACTAGATAGAAGCATTCTCAGAAACGACTTTGTGAGGATGGCATTCAACTCATGGAGTTGAACAATCCTATTGATAGAGCAGATTGGAATCACTCTTTTTGTAGAATCTGCAAATGGAGATTTGGACTGCTTTGAGGCCTACGGTCGTATAGGAAGGAACTTCATATAAAAGGCAAACGGAAGCATTCTCAGAATATTCTTTGTGATGATGGAGTTTCACTCACAGAGCTGAACATGCCTTTTGATGGAGCAGTTTCCAAATACACTTTTGGTAGAATCTGCAGGTGGATATTTGGAGCTCTCTGAGGATTTCGTTGGAAACGGGAATAATTTCCCATAACTAAACACAAACACTCTGAGAAAGTTCTTCATGATGAATGCATTTAACTCGCAGAGATGAACCTGCCTTTGAGAGTTCAGGTTCGAAACACTCTTTCTGTAGAATCTGCAAGTGGATATTTGGACCACTGGGTGGCCTTCGTTCGAAACGGGTATATGTTCACGTAAAAACTAAAGAGAAGCATTCTCAGAAACTTCTGAGTGATGATTGCATTCAAGTCACACAGTTGAACCCTCCTTTTGATGGAGCAGTTTTGAAACTGTCTTTTTGTAGAATCTGTAAGTGGATACATGGACCTCTTTGAAGATTTCTTTGGAAACGGGAATATTTCCACAGAAAAACTAAACTGAAACATTCTCAGAAACCGCTTTGTGATGTTTGTGTTCCAGCCACAGAGTTTAACATTGCTTTTCATAGAGCAGTTTTGAAATATTCTTTTCGCAGAATCTGCAAGTGGACATTTGGAGCGCTTTCAGGCCTGTGGTGGAACAGGCCTGAAAGCCTTTTCCTTTATCTTCACAGAAAGACGAGAGAGAAGCATTGTCAGAAACTTCTTTGTGATGATTGCATTCAACTCACAGAGTTGAAGATTCCTTTTGAAACAGCAGTTTCGAAACACTCTTTCTGTGGGATCCGCAAGGGGATATTTGGACCTCTTTGAAGGTTTCGTTGGAAACGGGATAATCTTCACCTAAAAGCTAAACGGAAGCATTCTCAGAAACTTCTTTGGGATGTTTGCATTCACCTCACAGAGTTGAACTTTCCCTTTGATAGCGCAGCTTTGACACACTTTTTCTACAATGTGCAAGTGGCTATTTAGCGGGCTTGGAGGACTGTGTTGGAAAAGGAAATATCTTCTCCTAAAAACGACATAGAAGCATTCTCAGAAACTGCTCTGTGATGATTGCATTCAACTCCCAGAGTTGAACATTCCTTTTGATAGAGCAGTTTGCAAACACTCTTTTTGTAGAATCTGCAAGTGGAGATTTGGACCGCTTTGAGGCCAGTGGTAGTGAAGGAAAGAACTTCATATAAAAACCAGACGGTAGCACTCTCAGAAAATTCTTTGTGACGATGGAGTTTAACTCAGGGAGCTGAACATTCGTTATGATGGAGCAGTTTCCAAACACACGTTTTGTAGAATCTGCAAGGGGATATTTGGACCTCTCTGAGGATTTCGTTGGAAACGGGATCAGCTTCCCATAACTGAACGGAAGCAAACTCAGAACATTCTTTGTGATGTTTGTATTCAACTCACAGAGTTGAACCTTCCTTTGATAGTTCAGGTTTGCAACACCCTTGTAGTAGAATCTGCAAGTGTATATTTTGACCACTTTGTAGCCTTCGTTTGAAACGTCTATATCTTCACATCAAACCTAGACAGAAGCATTCTCAGAAAGTTTTCTGCGATGACTGCATTCAACTCACAGAGTTGAACAATCCTTCTGATGGAGCAGTTTTGAAACCCTCTTTCTTTGGAATCTGCAAGGGGATATGTGGACCTCTTTGAAGATTTCACTGGAAACGGGATCATCTTCACATAAAAACTAAACAGAAGCATTCTCGGAAACTACTTTGTGATGTTTGTATTCAACTCCCAGAGTTGAACTTTCCTTTTGAAAGAGCAGCTATGAAACACTCTTTTTCGAGAATCTGCAAGTGGACGTTTGGAGGGCTTTGAGGCCTGTGGTGGAAAAGGAAATATCTTCACATAAAAACTAGATAGAAGCATTCTCAGAAACGACTTTGTGAGGATGGCATTCAACTCATGGAGTTGAACAATCCTATTGATAGAGCAGATTGGAATCACTCTTTTTGTAGAATCTGCAAATGGAGATTTGGACTGCTTTGAGGCCTACGGTCGTATAGGAAGGAACTTCATATAAAAGGCAAACGGAAGCATTCTCAGAATATTCTTTGTGATGATGGAGTTTCACTCACAGAGCGGAACATGCCTTTTGATGGAGCAGTTTCCAAATACACTTTTGGTAGAATCTGCAGGTGGATATTTGGAGCTCTCTGAGGATTTCGTTGGAAACGGGAATAATTTCCCATAACTAAACACAAACACTCTGAGAAAGTTCTTCATGATGAATGCATTTAACTCGCAGAGATGAACCTGCCTTTGAGAGTTCATGTTCGAAACACTCTTTCTGTAGAATCTGCAAGTGGATATTTGGACCACTGGGTGGCCTTCGTTCGAAACGGGTATATGTTCACGTAAAAACTAAAGAGAAGCATTCTCAGAAACTTCTGAGTGATGATTGCATTCAAGTCACACAGTTGAACACTCCTTTTGATGGAGCAGTTTTGAAACTGTCTTTTTGTAGAATCTGTAAGTGGATACGTGGACCTCTTTGAAGATTTCTTTGGAAACGGGAATATTTCCACAGAAAAACTAAACTGAATCATTCTCAGAAACTGCTTTGTGATGTTTGTGTTCGAGCCACAGAGTTTAACATTGCTTTTCATAGAGCAGTTTTGAAATATTCTTTTCGCAGAATCTGCAAGTGGACATTTGGAGCGCTTTCAGGCCTGTGGTGGAAAAGGCCTGAAAGCCTTTTCCTTTATCTTCACAGAAAGACGAGAGAGAAGCATTGTCAGAAACTTCTTTGTGATGATTGCATTCAACTCACAGAGTTGAAGATTCCTTTTGAAACAGCAGTTTCGAAACACTCTTTCTGTGGGATCCGCAAGGGGATATTTGGACCTCTTTGAAGGTTTCGTTGGAAACGGGATAATCTTCACCTAAAAGCTAAACGGAAGCATTCTCAGAAACTTCTTTGGGATGTTTGCATTCACCTCACAGAGTTGAACTTTCCCTTTGATAGCGCAGCTTTGACACACTTTTTCTACAATGTGCAAGTGGCTATTTAGCGGGCTTGGAGGACTGTGTTGGAAAAGGAAATATCTTCTCCTAAAAACGACATAGAAGCATTCTCAGAAACTGCTCTGTGATGATTGCATTCAACTCCCAGAGTTGAACATTCCTTTTGATAGAGCAGTTTGCAAACACTCTTTTTGTAGAATCTGCAAGTGGAGATTTGGACCGCTTTGAGGCCTGTGGTAGTGAAGGAAAGAACTTCATATAAAAACCAGACGGTAGCACTCTCAGAAAATTCTTTGTGACGATGGAGTTTAACTCAGGGAGCTGAACATTCGTTATGATGGAGCAGTTTCCAAACACACGTTTTGTAGAATCTGCGAGGGGATATTTGGACCTCTCTGAGGATTTCGTTGGAAACGGGATCAACTTCCCATAACTGAACGGAAGCAAACTCAGAACATTCTTTGTGATGTTTGTATTCAACTCACAGAGTTGAACCTTCCTTTGATAGTTCAGGTTTGCAACACCCTTGTAGTAGAATCTGCAAGTGTATATTTTGACCACTTTGTAGCCTTCGTTTGAAACGTCTATATCTTCACATCAAACCTAGACAGAAGCATTCTTAGAAAGTTTTCTGCGATGACTGCATTCAACTCACAGAGTTGAACAATCCTTCTGATGGAGCAGTTTTGAAACCCTCTTTCTTTGGAATCTGCAAGGGAATATGTGGACCTCTTTGAAGATTTCACTGGAAACGGGATCATCTTCACATAAAAACTAAATATAAGCATTCTCGGAAACTACTTTGGGATGTTTGTATTCAACTCCCAGAGTTGAACTTTCCTTTTGGAAGAGCAGCTATGAAACACTCTTTTTCGAGAATCTGCAAGTGGACGTTTGGAGGGCTTTGAGGCCTGTGGTGGAAAAGGAAATATCTTCACATAAAAACTAGATAGAAGCATTCTCACAAACGACATTGTGAGGATGGAATTCAACTCATGGAGTTGAACAATCCTATTGATAGAGCAGATTGGAATCACTCTTTTTGTAGAATCTGCAAATGGAGATTTGGACTGCTTTGAGGCCTACGGTAGTATAGGAAGGAACTTCATATAAAAGGCAAACGGAAGCATTCTCAGAATATTCTTTGTGATGATGGAGTTTCACTCACAGAGCTGAACATGCCTTTTGATGGAGCAGTTTCCAAATACACTTTTGGTAGAATCTGCAGGTGGATATTTGGAGCTCTCTGAGGATTTCGTTGGAAACGGGAATAATTTCCCATAACTAAACACAAACACTCTGAGAAAGTTCTTCATGATGAATGCATTTAACTCGCAGAGATGAACCTGCCTTTGAGAGTTCAGGTTCGAAACACTCTTTCTGTAGAATCTGCAAGTGGATATTTGGACCACTGGGTGGCCTTCGTTCGAAACGGGTATATGTTCACATAAAAACTAAAAAGAAGCATTCTCAGAAACTTCTGAGTGATGATTGCATTCAAGTCACATGGTTGAACCCTCCTTTTGATGGAGCAGTTTTGAAACTGTCTTTTTGTAGAATCTGTAAGTGGATACGTGGACCTCTTTGAAGATTTCTTTGGAAACGGGAATATTTCCACAGAAAAACTAAACTGAAGCATTCTCAGAAACTGCTTTGTGATGTTTGTGTTCGAGCCACAGAGTTTAACATTGCTTTTCATAGAGCAGTTTTGAAATATTCTTTTGGCAGAATCTGCAAGTGGACATTTGGAGCGCTTTCAGGCCTGTGGTGGAAAAGGCCTGAAAGCCTTTTCCTTTATCTTCACAGGAAGACGAGAGAGAAGCATTGTCAGAAACTTCTTTGTGATGATTGCATTCAACTCACAGAGTTGAAGATTCCTTTTGAAACAGCAGTTTCGAAACACTCTTTCTGTGGGATCCGCAAGGGGATATTTGGACCTCTTTGAAGGTTTCGTTGGAAACGGGATAATCTTCACCTAAAAGCTAAACGGAAGCATTCTCAGAAACTTCTTTGGGATGTTTGCATTCACCTCACAGAGTTGAACTTTCCCTTTGATAGCGCAGCTTTGACACACTTTTTCTACAATGTGCAAGTGGCTATTTAGCGGGCTTGGAGGACTGTGTTGGAAAAGGAAATATCTTCTCCTAAAAACGACATAGAAGCATTCTCAGAAACTGCTCTGTGATGATTGCATTCAACTCCCAGAGTTGAACATTCCTTTTGATAGAGCAGTTTGCAAACACTCTTTTTGTAGAATCTGCAAGTGGAGATTTGGACCGCTTTGAGGCCTGTGGTAGTGAAGGAAAGAACTTCATATAAAAACCAGACGGTAGCACTCTCAGAAAATTCTTTGTGACGATGGAGTTTAACTCAGGGAGCTGAACATTCGTTATGATGGAGCAGTTTCCAAACACACGTTTTGTAGAATCTGCAAGGGGATATTTGGACCTCTCTGAGGATTTCGTTGGAAACGGGATCAACTTCCCATAACTGAACGGAAGCAAACTCAGAACATTCTTTGTGATGTTTGTATTCAACTCACAGAGTTGAACCTTCCTTTGATAGTTCAGGTTTGCAACACCCTTGTAGTAGAATCTGCAAGTGTATATTTTGACCACTTTGTAGCCTTCGTTTGAAACGTCTATATCTTCACATCAAACCTAGACAGAAGCATTCTCAGAAAGTTTTCTGCGATGACTGCATTCAACTCACAGAGTTGAACAATCCTTCTGATGGAGCAGTTTTGAAACCCTCTTTCTTTGGAATCTGCAAGGGGATATGTGGACCTCTTTGAAGATTTAACTGGAAACGGGATCATCTTCACATAAAAACTAAACAGAAGCATTCTCGGAAACTACTTTGTGATGTTTGTATTCAACTCCCAGAGTTGAACTTTCCTTTTGAAAGAGCAGCTATGAAACACTCTTTTTCGAGAATCTGCAAGTGGACGTTTGGAGGGCTTGGAGGCCTGTGGTGGAAAAGGAAATACCTTCACATAAAAACTAGATAGAAGCATTCTCAGAAACTACTTTGTGAGGATGGCATTCAACTCATGGAGTTGAACAATCCTATTGATAGAGCAGATTGGAATCACTCTTTTTGTAGAATCTGCAAATGGAGATTTGGACTGCTTTGAGGCCTACGGTCGTATAGGAAGGAACTTCAGATAAAAGGCAAACGGAAGCATTCTCAGAATATTCTTTGTGATGATGGAGTTTCACTCACAGAGCTGAACATGCCTTTTGATGGAGCAGTTTCCAAATACACTTTTGGTAGAATCTGCAGGTGGATATTTGGAGCTCTCTGAGGATTTCGTTGGAAACGGGAATAATTTCCCATAACTAAACACAAACACTCTGAGAAAGTTCTTCATGATGAATGCATTTAACTCGCAGAGATGAACCTGCATTTGAGAGTTCAGGTTCGAAACACTCTTTCTGTAGAATCTGCAAGTTGATATTTGGACCACTGGCTGGCCTTCGTTCGAAACGGGTATATGTTCACGTAAAAACTAAAGAGAAAGCATTCTCAGAAACTTCTGAGTGATGATTGCATTCAAGTCACACAGTTGAACCCTCCTTTTGATGGAGCAGTTTTGAAACTGTCTTTTTGTAGAATCTGTAAGTGGATACGTGGACCTCTTTGAAGATTTCTTTGGAAACGGGAATATTTTCACAGAAAAACTAAACTGAAGCATTCTCAGAAACTGTTTTGTGATGTTTGTGTTCGAGCCGCAGAGTTTAACATTGCTTTTCATAGAGCAGTTTTGAAATATTCTTTTGGCAGAATCTGCAAGTGGACATTTGGAGCGCTTTCAGGCCTGTGGTGGAAAAGACCTGAAAGCCTTTTCCTTTATCTTCACAGAAAGACGAGAGAGAAGCATTGTCAGAAACTTCTTTGTGATGATTGCATTCAACTCACAGAGTTGAAGATTCCTTTTGAAACAGCAGTTTCGAAACACTCTTTCTGTGGGATCCGCAAGGGGATATTTGGACCTCTTTGAAGGTTTCGTTGGAAACGGGATAATCTTCACCTAAAAGCTAAACGGAAGCATTCTCAGAAACTTCTTTGGGATGTTTGCATTCACCTCACAGAGTTGAACTTTCCCTTTGATAGCGCAGCTTTGACACACTTTTTCTACAATGTGCAAGTGGCTATTTAGCGGACTTGGAGGACTGTGTTGGAAAAGGAAATATCTTCTCCTAAAAACGACATAGAAGCATTCTCAGAAACTGCTCTGTGATGATTGCATTCAACTCCCAGAGTTGAACATTCCTTTTGATAGAGCAGTTTGCAAACACTCTTTTTGTAGAATCTGCAAGTGGAGATTTGGACCGCTTTGAGGCCTGTGGTAGTGAAGGAAAGAACTTCATATAAAAACCAGACGGTAGCACTCTCAGAAAATTCTTTGTGACGATGGAGTTTAACTCAGGGAGCTGAACATTCGTTATGATGGAGCAGTTTCCAAACACACGTTTTGTAGAATCTGCGAGGGGATATTTGGACCTCTCTGAGGATTTCGTTGGAAACGGGATCAACTTCCCATAACTGAACGGAAGCAAACTCAGAACATTCTTTGTTATGTTTGTATTCAACTCACAGAGTTGAACCTTCCTTTGATAGTTCAGGTTTGCAAAACCCTTGTAGTAGAATCTGCAAGTGTATATTTTGACCACTTTGTAGCCTTCGTTTGAAACGTCTATATCTTCACATCAAACCTAGACAGAAGCATTCTCAGAAAGTTTTCTGCGATGACTGCATTCAACTCACAGAGTTGAACAATCCTTCTGATGGAGCAGTTTTGAAACCCTCTTTCTTTGGAATCTGCAAGGGGATATGTGGACCTCTTTGAAGATTTCACTGGAAACGGGATCATCTTCACATAAAAACTAAACAGAAGCATTCTCGGAAACTACTTTGTGATGTTTGTATTCAACTCCCAGAGTTGAACTTTCCTTTTGAAAGAGCAGCTATGAAACACTCTTTTTCGAGAATCTGCAAGTGGACGTTTGGAGGGCTTTGAGGCCTGTGGTGGAAAAGGAAATATCTTCACATAAAAACTAGATAGAAGCATTCTCAGAAACGACTTTGTGAGGATGGCATTCAACTCATGGAGTTGAACAATCCTATTGATAGAGCAGATTGGAATCACTCTTTTTGTGGAATCTGCAAATGGAGATTTGGACTGCTTTGAGGCCTACGGTCGTATAGGAAGGAACTTCAGATAAAAGGCAAACGGAAGCATTCTCAGAATATTCTTTGTGATGATGGAGTTTCACTGACAGAGCTGAACATGCCTTTTGATGGAGCAGTTTCCAAATACACTTTTGGTAGAATCTGCAGGTGGATATTTGGAGCTCTCTGAGGATTTCGTTGGAAACGGGAATAATTTCCCATAACTAAACACAAACACTCTGAGAAAGTTCTTCATGATGAATGCATTTAACTCGCAGAGATGAACCTGCCTTTGAGAGTTCAGGTTCGAAACACTCTTTCTGTAGAATCTGCAAGTGGATATTTGGACCACTGGCTGGCCTTCGTTCGAAACGGGTATATGTTCACGTAAAAACTAAAGAGAAGCATTCTCAGAAACTTCTGAGTGATGATTGCATTCAAGTCACACAGTTGAACCCTCCTTTTGATGGAGCAGTTTTGAAACTGTCTTTTTGTAGAATCTGTAAGTGGATACGTGGACCTCTTTGAAGATTTCTTTGGAAACGGGAATATTTCCACAGAAAAACTAAACTGAAGCATTCTCAGAAACTGCTTTGTGATGTTTGTGTTCGAGCCACAGAGTTTAACATTGCTTTTCATAGAGCAGTTTTGCAATATTCTTTTCACAGAATCTGCAAGTGGACATTTGGAGCGCTTTCAGGCCTGTGGTGGAAAAGGCCTGAAAGCCTTTTCCTTTATCTTCACAGAAAGACGAGAGAGAAGCATTGTCAGAAACTTCTTTGTGATGATTGCATTCAACTCACAGAGTTGAAGATTCCTTTTGAAACAGCAGTTTCGAAACACTCTTTCTGTGGGATCCGCAAGGGGATATTTGGACCTCTTTGAAGGTTTCGTTGGAAACGGGATAATCTTCACCTAAAAGCTAAACGGAAGCATTCTCAGAAACTTCTTTGGGATGTTTGCATTCACCTCACAGAGTTGAACTTTCCCTTTGATAGCGCAGCTTTGACACACTTTTTCTACAATGTGCAAGTGGCTATTTAGCGGGCTAGGAGGACTGTGTTGGAAAAGGTAATATCTTCTCCTAAAAACGACATAGAAGCATTCTCAGAAACTGCTCTGTGATGATTGCATTCAACTCCCAGAGTTGAACATTCCTTTTGATAGAGCAGTTTGCAAACACTCTTTTTGTAGAATCTGCAAGTGGAGATTTGGATCGCTTTGAGGCCTGTGGTAGTGAAGGAAAGAGCTTCATATAAAAACCAGACGGTAGCACTCTCAGAAAATTCTTTGTGACGATGGAGTTTAACTCAGGGAGCTGAACATTCGTTATGATGGAGCAGTTTCCAAACACACGTTTTGTAGAATCTGCAAGGGGATATTTGGACCTCTCTGAGGATTTCGTTGGAAACGGGATCAACTTCCCATAACTGAACGGAAGCAAACTCAGAACATTCTTTGTGATGTTTGTATTCAACTCACAGAGTTGAACCTTCCTTTGATAGTTCAGGTTTGCAACACCCTTGTAGTAGAATCTGCAAGTGTATATTTTGACCACTTTGTAGCCTTCGTTTGAAACGTCTATATCTTCACATCAAACCTAGACAGAAGCATTCTCAGAAAGTTTTCTGCGATGACTGCATTCAACTCACAGAGTTGAACAATCCTTCTGATGGAGCAGTTTTGAAACCCTCTTTCTTTGGAATCTGCAAGGGGATATGTGGACCTCTTTGAAGATTTCACTGGAAACGGGATCATCTTCACATAAAAACTAAACAGAAGCATTCTCGGAAACTACTTTGTGATGTTTGTATTCAACTCCCAGAGTTGAACTTTCCTTTTGAAAGAGCAGCTATGAAACACTCTTTTTCGAGAATCTGCAAGTGGACGTTTGGAGGGCTTTGAGGCCTGTGGTGGAAAAGGAAATATCTTCACATAAAAACTAGATAGAAGCATTCTCAGAAACTACTTTGTGAGGATGGCATTCAACTCATGGAGTTGAACAATCCTATTGATAGAGCAGATTGGAATCACTCTTTTTGTAGAATCTGCAAATGGAGATTTGGACTGCTTTGAGGCCTACGGTCGTATAGGAAGGAACTTCATATAAAAGGCAAACGGAAGCATTCTCAGAATATTCTTTGTGATGATGGAGTTTCACTCACAGAGCTGAACGTGCCTTTTGATGGAGCAGTTTCCAAATACACTTTTGGTAGAATCTGCAGGTGGATATTTGGAGCTCTCTGAGGATTTCGTTGGAAACGGGAATAATTTCCCATAACTAAACACAAACACTCTGAGAAAGTTCTTCATGATGAATGCATTTAACTCGCAGAGATGAACCTGCCTTTGAGAGTTCAGGTTCGAAACACTCTTTCTGTAGAATCTGCAAGTGGATATTTGGACCACTGGGTGGCCTTCGTTCGAAACGGGTATATGTTCACGTAAAAACTAAAGAGAAGCATTCTCAGAAACTTCTGAGTGATGATTGCATTCAAGTCACACAGTTGAACCCTCCTTTTGATGGAGCAGTTTTGAAACTGTCTTTTTGTAGTATCTGTAAGTGGATACGTGGACCTCTTTGAAGATTTCTTTGTAAACGGGAATATTTCCACAGAAAAACTAAACTGAAACATTCTCAGAAACCGCTTTGTGATGTTTGTGTTCCAGCCACAGAGTTTAACATTGCTTTTCATAGAGCAGTTTTGAAATATTCTTTTCGCAGAATCTGCAAGTGGACATTTGGAGCGCTTTCAGGCCTGTGGTGGAAAAGGCCTGAAAGCCTTTTCCTTTATCTTCACAGAAAGACGAGAGAGAAGCATTGTCAGAAACTTCTTTGTGATGATTGCATTCAACTCACAGAGTTGAAGATTCCTTTTGAAACAGCAGTTTCGAAACACTCTTTCTGTGGGATCCGCAAGGGGATATTTGGACCTCTTTGAAGGTTTCGTTGGAAACGGGATAATCTTCACCTAAAAGCTAAACGGAAGCATTCTCAGAAACTTCTTTGGGATGTTTGCATTCACCTCACAGAGTTGAACTTTCCCTTTGATAGCGCAGCTTTGACACACTTTTTCTACAATGTGCAAGTGGCTATTTAGCGGGCTTGGAGGACTGTGTTGGAAAAGGAAATATCTTCTCCTAAAAACGACATAGAAGCATTCTCAGAAACTGCTCTGTGATGATTGCATTCAACTCCCAGGGTTGAACATTCCTTTTGATAGAGCAGTTTGCAAACACTCTTTTTGTAGAATCTGCAAGTGGAGATTTGGACCGCTTTGAGGCCTGTGGTAGTGAAGGAAAGAACTTCATATAAAAACCAGACGGTAGCACTCTCAGAAAATTCTTTGTGACGATGGAGTTTAACTCAGGGAGCTGAACATTCCTTATGATGGAGCAGTTTCCAAACACATGTTTTGTAGAATCTGCAAGGGGATATTTGGACCTCTCTGAGGATTTCGTTGGAAACGGGATCAACTTCCCATAACTGAACGGAAGCAAACTCAGAACATTCTTTGTGATGTTTGTATTCAACTCACAGAGTTGAACCTTCCTTTGATAGTTCAGGTTTGCAACACCCTTGTAGTAGAATCTGCAAGTGTATATTTTGACCACTTTGTAGCCTTCGTTTGAAACGTCTATATCTTCACATCAAACCTAGACAGAAGCATTCTCAGAAAGTTTTCTGCGATGACTGCATTCAACTCACAGAGTTGAACAATCCTTCTGATGGAGCAGTTTTGAAACCCTCTTTCTTTGGAATCTGCAAGGGGATATGTGGACCTCTTTGAAGATTTCACTGGAAACGGGATCATCTTCACATAAAAACTAAACAGAAGCATTCTCGGAAACTACTTTGTGATGTTTGTATTCAACTCCCAGAGTTGAACTTTCCTTTTGAAAGAGCAGCTATGAAACACTCTTTTTCGAGAATCTGCAAGTGGACGTTTGGAGGGCTTTGAGGCCTGTGGTGGAAAAGGAAATATCTTCACACAAAAACCAGATAGAAGCATTCTCAGAAACTACTTTGTGAGGATGGCATTCAACTCATGGAGTTGAACAATCCTATTGATAGAGCAGATTGGAATCACTCTTTTTATAGAATCTGCAAATGGAGATTTGGACTGCTTTGAGGCCTACGGTAGTACAGGAAGGAACTTCATATAAAAGGCAAACGGAAGCATTCTCAGAATATTCTTTGTGATGATGGAGTTTCACTCACAGAGCTGAACATGCCTTTTGATGGAGCAGTTTCCAAATACACTTTTGGTAGAATCTGCAGGTGGATATTTGGAGCTCTCTGAGGATTTCGTTGGAAACGGGAATAATTTCCCATAACTAAACACAAACACTCTGAGAAAGTTCTTCATGATGAATGCATTTAACTCGCAGAGATGAACCTGCCTTTGAGAGTTCAGGTTCGAAACACTCTTTCTGTAGAATCTGCAAGTGGATATTTGGACCACTGGGTGGCCTTCGTTCGAAACGGGTATATGTTCACGTAAAAACTAAAGAGAAGCATTCTCAGAAACTTCTGAGTGATGATTGCATTCAAGTCACACAGTTGAACCCTCCTTTTGATGGAGCAGTTTTGAAACTGTCTTTTTGTAGAATCTGTAAGTGGATACGTGGACCTCTTTGAAGATTTCTTTGGAAACGGGAATATTTCCACAGAAAAACTAAACTGAAACATTCTCAGAAACCGCTTTGTGATGTTTGTGTTCCAGCCACAGAGTTTAACATTGCTTTTCATAGAGCAGTTTTGAAATATTCTTTTCGCAGAATCTGCAAGTGGACATTTGGAGCGCTTTCAGGCCTGTGGTGGAAAAGGCCTGAAAGCCTTTTCCTTTATCTTCACAGAAAGACGAGAGAGAAGCATTGTCAGAAACTTCTTTGTGATGATTGCATTCAACTCACAGAGTTGAAGATTCCTTTTGAAACAGCAGTTTCGAAACACTCTTTCTGTGGGATCCGCAAGGGGATATTTGGACCTCTTTGAAGGTTTCGTTGGAAACGGGATAATCTTCACCTAAAAGCTAAACGGAAGCATTCTCAGAAACTTCTTTGGGATGTTTGCATTCACCTCACAGAGTTGAACTTTCCCTTTGATAGCGCAGCTTTGACACACTTTTTCTACAATGTGCAAGTGGCTATTTAGCGGACTTGGAGGACAGTGTTGGAAAAGGAAATATCTTCTCCTAAAAACGACATAGAAGCATTCTCAGAAACTGCTCTGTGATGATTGCATTCAACTCCCAGAGTTGAACATTCCTTTTGATAGAGCAGTTTGCAAACACTCTTTTTGTAGAATCTGCAAGTGGAGATTTGGACCGCTTTGAGGCCTGTGGTAGTGAAGGAAAGAACTTCATATAAAAACCAGACGGTAGCACTCTCAGAAAATTCTTTGTGACGATGGAGTTTAACTCAGGGAGCTGAACATTCGTTATGATGGAGCAGTTTCCAAACACACGTTTTGTAGAATCTGCAAGGGGATATTTGGACCTCTCTGAGGATTTCGTTGGAAACGGGATCAACTTCCCATAACTGAACGGAAGCAAACTCAGAACATTCTTTGTGATGTTTGTATTCAACTCACAGAGTTGAACCTTCCTTTGATAGTTCAGGTTTGCAACACCCTTGTAGTAGAATCTGCAAGTGTATATTTTGACCACTTTGTAGCCTTCGTTTGAAACATGCTATATCTTCACATCAAACCTAGACAGAAGCATTCTCAGAAAGTTTTCTGCGATGACTGCATTCAACTCACAGAGTTGAACAATCCTTCTGATGGAGCAGTTTTGAAACCCTCTTTCTTTGGAATCTGCAAGGGGATATGTGGACCTCTTTGAAGATTTCACTGGAAACGGGATCATCTTCACATAAAAACTAAACAGAAGCATTCTCGGAAACTACTTTGTGATGTTTGTATTCAACTCCCAGAGTTGAACTTTCCTTTTGAAAGAGCAGCTATGAAACACTCTTTTTCGAGAATCTGCAAGTGGACGTTTGGAGGGCTTTGAGGCCTGTGGTGGAAAAGGAAATATCTTCACATAAAAACTAGATAGAAGCATTCTCAGAAACGACATTGTGAGGATGGCATTCAACTCATGGAGTTGAACAATCCTATTGATAGAGCAGATTGGAATCACTCTTTTTGTAGAATCTGCAAATGGAGATTTGGACTGCTTTGAGGCCTACGGTAGTATAGGAAGGAACTTCATATAAAAGGCAAACGGAAGCATTCTCAGAATATTCTTTGTGATGATGGAGTTTCACTCACAGAGCTGAACATGCCTTTTGATGGAGCAGTTTCCAAATACACTTTTGGTAGAATCTGCAGGTGGATATTTGGAGCTCTCTGAGGATTTCGTTGGAAACGGGAATAATTTCCCATAACTAAACACAAACACTCTGAGAAAGTTCTTCATGATGAATGCATTTAACTCGCAGAGATGAACCTGCCTTTGAGAGTTCAGGTTCGAAACACTCTTTCTGTAGAATCTGCAAGTGGATATTTGGACCACTGGGTGGCCTTCGTTCGAAACGGGTATATGTTCACGTAAAAACTAAAGAGAAGCATTCTCAGAAACTTCTGAGTGATGATTGCATTCAAGTCACACGGTTGAACCCTCCTTTTGATGGAGCAGTTTTGAAACTGTCTTTTTGTAGAATCTGTAAGTGGATACGTGGACCTCTTTGAAGATTTCTTTGGAAACGGGAATATTTCCACAGAAAAACTAAACTGAAGCATTCTCAGAAACTGCTTTGTGATGTTTGTGTTCGAGCCACAGAGTTTAACATTGCTTTTCATAGAGCAGTTTTGAAATATTCTTTTCGCAGAATCTGCAAGTGGACATTTGGAGCGCTTTCAGGCCTGTGGTGGCAAAGGCCTGAAAGCCTTTTCCTTTATCTTCACAGAAAGACGAGAGAGAAGCATTGTCAGAAACTTCTTTGTGATGATTGCATTCAACTCACAGAGTTGAAGATTCCTTTTGAAACAGCAGTTTCGAAACACTCTTTCTGTGGGATCCGCAAGGGGATATTTGGACCTCTTTGAAGGTTTCGTTGGAAACGGGATAATCTTCACCTAAAAGCTAAACGGAAGCATTCTCAGAAACTTCTTTGGGATGTTTGCATTCACCTCACAGAGTTGAACTTTCCCTTTGATAGCGCAGCTTTGACACACTTTTTCTACAATGTGCAAGTGGCTATTTAGCGGGCTTGGAGGACTGTGTTGGAAAAGGAAATATCTTCTCCTAAAAACGACATAGAAGCATTCGCAGAAACTGCTCTGTGATGATTGCATTCAACTCCCAGAGTTGAACATTCCTTTTGATAGAGCAGTTTGCAAACACTCTTTTTGTAGAATCTGCAAGTGGAGATTTGGACCGCTTTGAGGCCTGTGGTAGTGAAGGAAAGAACTTCATATAAAAACCAGACGGTTAGCACTCTCAGAAAATTCTTTGTGACGATGGAGTTTAACTCAGCAGAGCTGAACATTCGTTATGATGGAGCAGTTTCCAAACACACGTTTTGTAGAATCTGCAAGGGGATATTTGGACCTCTCTGAGGATTTCGTTGGAAACGGGATCAACTTCCCATAACTGAACGGAGCAAACTCAGAACATTCTTTGTGATGTTTGCATTCGTCTCACAGAGTTGAACCTTCCTTTGATAGTTGAGGTTTGCAACACCCTTGTAGTAGAATCTGCAAGTGTATATTTTGACCACTTTGTAGCCTTCGTTTGAAACGTCTATATCTTCACATCAAACCTAGACAGAAGCATTCTCAGAAAGTTTTCTGCGATGACTGCATTCAACTCACAGAGTTGAACAATCCTTTTGATGGAGCAGTTTTGAAACCCTCTTTCTTTGGAATCTGCAAGGGGATATGTGGACCTCTTTGAAGATTTCACTGGAAACGGGATCATCTTCACATAAGAACTAAACAGAAGCATTCTCGGAAACTACTTTGTGATGTTTGTATTCAACTCCCACAGTTGAAATTTCCTTTTGAAAGAGCAGCTATGAAACACTCTTTTTCGAGAATCTGCAAGTGGACGTTTGGAGGGCTTTGAGGCCTGTGGTGGAAAAGGAAATATCTTCACATAAAAACTACATAGAAGCATTCTCAGAAACTACTTTGTGAGGATGGCATTCAACTCATGGAGTTGAACAATCCTATTGATAGAGCAGATTGGAATCACTCTTTTTGTAGAATCTGCAAATGGAGATTTGGACTGCTTTGAGGCCTACGGTAGTATAGGAAGGAACTTCATATAAAAGGCAAACGGAAGCATTCTCAGAATATTCTTTGTGATGATGGAGTTTCACTCACAGAGCTGAACATGCCTTTTGATGGAGCAGTTTCCAAATACACTTTTGGTAGAATCTGCAGGTGGATATTTGGAGCTCTCTGAGGATTTCGTTGGAAACGGGAATAATTTCCCATAACTAAACACAAACACTCTGAGAAAGTTCTTCATGATGAATGCATTTAACTCGCAGAGATGAACCTGCCTTTGAGAGTTCAGGTTCGAAACACTCTTTCTGTAGAATCTGCAAGTGGATATTTGGACCACTGGGTGGCCTTCGTTCGAAACGGGTATATGTTCACGTAAAAACTAAAGAGAAGCATTCTCAGAAACTTCTGAGTGATGATTGCATTCAAGTCACACAGTTGAACCCTCCTTTTGATGGAGCAGTTTTGAAACTGTCTTTTTGTAGAATCTGTAAGTGGATACGTGGACCTCTTTGAAGATTTCTTTGGAAACGGGAATATTTCCACAGAAAAACTAAACTGAAACATTCTCAGAAACCGCTTTGTGATGTTTGTGTTCCAGCCACAGAGTTTAACATTGCTTTTCATAGAGCAGTTTTGAAATATTCTTTTCGCAGAATCTGCAAGTGGACATTTGGAGCGCTTTCAGGCCTGTGGTGGAACAGGCCTGAAAGCCTTTTCCTTTATCTTCACAGAAAGACGAGAGAGAAGCATTGTCAGAAACTTCTTTGTGATGATTGCATTCAACTCACAGAGTTGAAGATTCCTTTTGAAACAGCAGTTTCGAAACACTCTTTCTGTGGGATCCGCAAGGGGATATTTGGACCTCTTTGAAGGTTTCGTTGGAAACGGGATAATCTTCACCTAAAAGCTAAACGGAAGCATTCTCAGAAACTTCTTTGGGATGTTTGCATTCACCTCACAGAGTTGAACTTTCCCTTTGATAGCGCAGCTTTGACACACTTTTTCTACAATGTGCAAGTGGCTATTTAGCGGGCTTGGAGGACTGTGTTGGAAAAGGAAATATCTTCTCCTAAAAACGACATAGAAGCATTCTCAGAAACTGCTCTGTGATGATTGCATTCAACTCCCAGAGTTGAACATTCCTTTTGATAGAGCAGTTTGCAAACACTCTTTTTGTAGAATCTGCAAGTGGAGATTTGGACCGCTTTGAGGTCTGTGGTAGTGAAGGAAAGAACTTCATATAAAAACCAGACGGTAGCACTCTCAGAAAATTCTTTGTGACGATGGAGTTTAACTCAGGGAGCTGAACATTCGTTATGATGGAGCAGTTTCCAAACACACGTTTTGTAGAATCTGAAAGGGGATATTTGGACCTCTCTGAGGATTTCGTTGGAAACGGGATCAACTTCCCATAACTGAACGGAAGCAAACTCAGAACATTCCTTGTGATGTTTGTATTCAACTCACAGAGTTGAACCTTCCTTTGATAGTTCAGGTTTGCAACACCCTTGTAGTAGAATCTGCAAGTGTATATTTTGACCACTTTGTAGCCTTCGTTTGAAACGTCTATATCTTCACATCAAACCTAGACAGAAGCCTTCTCAGAAAGTTTTCTGCGATGACTGCATTCAACTCACAGAGTTGAACAATCCTTCTGATGGAGCAGTTTTGAAACCCTCTTTCTTTGGAATCTGCAAGGGGATATGTGGACCTCTTTGAAGATTTCACTGGAAACGGGATCATCTTCACATAAAAACTAAACAGAAGCATTCTCGGAAACTACTTTGTGATGTTTGTATTCAACTCCCAGAGTTGAACTTTCCTTTTGAAAGAGCAGCTATGAAACACTCTTTTTCGAGAATCTGCAAGTGGACGTTTGGAGGGCTTTGAGGCCTGTGGTGGAAAAGGAAATATCTTCACATGAAAACTAGATAGAAGCATTCCCAGAAACTACTTTGTGAGGATGGCATTCAACTCATGGAGTTGAACAATCCTATTGATAGAGCAGATTGGAATCACTCTTTTTGTAGAATCTGCAAATGGAGATTTGGACTGCTTTGAGGCCTACGGTCGTATAGGAAGGAACTTCATATAAAAGGCAAACGGAAGCATTCTCAGAATATTCTTTGTGATGATGGAGTTTCACTCACAGAGCTGAACATGCCTTTTGATGGAGCAGTTTCCAAATACACTTTTGGTAGAATCTGCAGGTGGATATTTGGAGCTCTCTGAGGATTTCGTTGGAAACGGGAATAATTTCCCATAACTAAACACAAACACTCTGAGAAAGTTCTTCATGATGAATGCATTTAACTCGCAGAGATGAACCTGCCTTTGAGAGTTCAGGTTCGAAACACTCTTTCTGTAGAATCTGCAAGTGGATATTTGGACCACTGGCTGGCCTTCGTTCGAAACGGGTATATGTTCACGTAAAAACTAAAGAGAAGCATTCTCAGAAACTTCTGAGTGATGATTGCATTCAACTCACACAGTTGAACCCTCCTTTTGATGGAGCAGTTTTGAAACTGTCTTTTTGTAGAATCTGTAAGTGGATACGTGGACCTCTTTGAAGATTTCTTTGGAAACGGGAATATTTCCACAGAAAAACTAAACTGAAGCATTCTCAGAAACCGCTTTGTGATGTTTGTGTTCGAGCCACAGAGTTTAACATTGCTTTTCATAGAGCAGTTTTGAAATATTCTTTTGGCAGAATCTGCAAGTGGACATTTGGAGCGCTTTCAGGCCTGTGGTGGAAAAGGCCTGAAAGCCTTTTCCTTTACCTTCACAGAAAGGCGAGAGAGAAGCATTGTCAGAAACTTCTTTGTGATGATTGCATTCAACTCACAGAGTTGAAGATTCCTTTTGAAACAGCAGTTTCGAAACACTCTGTGGGATCCGCAAGGGGATATTTGGACCTCTTTGAAGGTTTCGTTGGAAACGGGATAATCTTCACCTAAAAGCTAAACGGAAGCACTCTCAGAAACTTCTTTGGGATGTTTGCATTCACCTCTCAGAGTTGAACTTTCCCTTTGATAGCGCAGCTTTGACACACTTTTTCTACAATGTGCAAGTGGATATTTAGCGGGCTTGGAGGACTGTGTTGGAAAAGGAAATATCTTCTCCTAAAAACGACATAGAAGCATTCTCAGAAACTGCTCTGTGATGATTGCATTCAACTCCCAGAGTTGAACATTCCTTTTGATAGAGCAGTTCGCAAACACTCTTTTTGTAGAATCTGCAAGTGGAGATTTGGACCGCTTTGAGGCCTGTGGTAGTGAAGGAAAGAACTTCATATAAAAACCAGACGGTAGCACTCTCAGAAAATTCTTTGTGACGATGGAGTTTAACTCAGGGAGCTGAACATTCGTTATGATGGAGCAGTTTCCAAACACACGTTTTGTAGAATCTGCAAGGGGATATTTGGACCTCTCTGAGGATTTCGTTGGAAACGGGATCAACTTCCCATAACTGAACGGAAGCAAACTCAGAACATTCTTTGTGATGTTTGTATTCAACTCACAGAGTTGAACCTTCCTTTGATAGTTCAGGTTTGCAACACCCTTGTAGTAGAATCTGCAAGTGTATATTTTGACCACTTTGTAGCCTTCGTTTGAAACATCTATATCTTCACATCAAACCTAGACAGAAGCATTCTCAGAAAGTTTTCTGCGATGACTGCATTCAACTCACAGAGTTGAACAATCCTTCTGATGGAGCAGTTTTGAAACCCTCTTTCTTTGGAATCTGCAAGGGGATATGTGGACCTCTTTGAAGATTTCACTGGAAACGGGATCATCTTCACATAAAAACTAAACTGAAGCATTCTCGGAAACTACTTTGTGATGTTTGTATTCAACTCCCAGAGTTGAACTTTCCTTTTGAAAGAGCAGCTATGAAACACTCTTTTTCGAGAATCTGCAAGTGGACGTTTGGAGGGCTTTGAGGCCTGTGGTGGAAAAGGAAATATCTTCACACAAAAACCAGATAGAAGCATTCTCAGAAACTACTTTGTGAGGATGGCATTCAACTAATGGAGTTGAACAATCCTATTGATAGAGCAGATTGGAATCACTCTTTTTGTAGAATCTGCAAATGGAGATTTGGACTGCTTTGAGGCCTACGGTAGTACAGGAAGGAACTTCATATAAAAGGCAAACGGAAGCATTCTCAGAATATTCTTTGTGATGATGGAGTTTCACTCACAGAGCTGAACATGCCTTTTGATGGAGCAGTTTCCAAATACACTTTTGGTAGAATCTGCAGGTGGATATTTGGAGCTCTCTGAGGATTTCGTTGGAAACGGGAATAATTTCCCATAACTAAACACAAACACTCTGAGAAAGTTCTTCATGATGAATGCATTTAACTCGCAGAGATGAACCTGCCTTTGAGAGTTCAGGTTCGAAACACTCTTTCTGTAGAATCTGCAAGTGGATATTTGGACCACTGGCTGGCCTTCGTTTGAAACGGGTATATGTTCACGTAAAAACTAAAGAGAGAAGCATTCTCAGGAAACTTCTGAGTGATGATTGCATTCAAGTCACACAGTTGAACCCTCCTTTTGATGGAGCAGTTTTGAAACTGTCTTTTTGTAGAATCTGTAAGTGGATACGTGGACCTCTTTGAAGATTTCTTTGGAAACGGGAATATTTCCACAGAAAAACTAAACTGAAGCATTCTCAGAAACCGCTTTGTGATGTTTGTGTTCGAGCCACAGAGTTTAACATTGCTTTTCATAGAGCAGTTTTGAAATATTCTTTTGGCAGAATCTGCAAGTGGACATTTGGAGCGCTTTCAGGCCTGTGGTGGAAAAGGCCTGAAAGCCTTTTCCTTTATCTTCACAGAAAGACGAGAGAGAAGCATTGTCAGAAACTTCTTTGTGATGATTGCATTCAACTCACAGAGTTGAAGATTCCTTTTGAAACAGCAGTTTCGAAACACTCTTTCTGTGGGATCCGCAAGGGGATATTTGGACCTCTTTGAAGATTTCGTTGGAAACGGGATAATCTTCACCTAAAAGCTAAACGGAAGCATTCTCAGAAACTTCTTTGGGATGTTTGCATTCACCTCACAGAGTTGAACTTTCCCTTTGATAGCGCAGCTTCGACACACTTTTTCTACAATGTGCAAGTGGATATTTAGCGGGCTTGGAGGACTGTGTTGGAAAAGGAAATATCTTCTCCTAAAAACGACATAGAAGCATTCTCAGAAACTGCTCTGTGATGATTGCATTCAACTCCCAGAGTTGAACATTCCTTTTGATAGAGCAGTTTGCAAACACTCTTTTTGTAGAATCTGCAAGTGGAGATTTGGACCGCTTTGAGGCCTGTGGTAGTAAAGGAAAGAACTTCATATAAAAACTAGACGGTAGCACTCTCAGAAAATTCTTTGTGACGATGGAGTTCAACTCAGAGAGCTGAACATTCGTTATGATGGAGCAGTTTCCAAACACACGTTTTGTAGAATCTGCAAGGGGATATTTGGACCTCTCTGAGGATTTCGTAGGAAACGGGATCAACTTCCCATAACTGAACGGAAGCAAACTCAGAACATTCTTTGTGATGTTTGTATTCAACTCACAGAGTTGAACTTTCCTTTGATAGTTGAGGTTTGCATCACCCTTGTAGTAGAATCTGCAAGTGTATATTTTGAACACTTTGTAGCCTTCATTTGAAACGTCTATATCTTCACATCAAACCTAGACAGAAGCATTCTCAGAAAGTTTTCTGCGATGACTGCATTCAACTCACAGAGTTGAACAATCCTTTTGATGGAGCAGTTTTGAAACCCTCTTTCTTTGGAATCTGCAAGGGGATATGTGGACCTCTTTGAAGATTTCACTGGAAACGGGATCATCTTCACATAAGAACTAAACAGAAGCATTCTCGGAAACTACTTTGTGATGTTTGTATTCAACTCCCACAGTTGAAATTTCCTTTTGAAAGAGCAGCTATGAAACACTCTTTTTCGAGAATCTGCAAGTGGACGTTTGGAGGGCTTTGAGGCCTGTGGTGGAAAAGGAAATATCTTCACATAAAAACTACATAGAAGCATTCTCAGAAACTACTTTGTGAGGATGGCATTCAACTCATGGAGTTGAACAATCATATTGATAGAGCAGATTGGAATCACTCTTTTTGTAGAATCTGCAAATGGAGATTTGGACTGCTTTGAGGCCTACGGTAGTATAGGAAGGAACTTCATATAAAAGGCAAACGGAAGCATTCTCAGAATATTCTTTGTGATGATGGAGTTTCACTCACAGAGCTGAACATGCCTTTTGATGGAGCAGTTTCCAAATAGACTTTTGGTAGAATCTGCAGGTGGATATTTGGAGCTCTCTGAGGATTTCGTTGGAAACGGGAATAATTTCCCATAACTAAACACAAACACGCTGAGAAAGTTCTTCATGATGAATGCATTTAACTCGCAGAGATGAACCTGCCTTTGAGAGTTCAGGTTCGAAACACTCTTTCTGTGGAATCTGCAAGTGGATATTTGGACCACTGGCTGGCCTTCATTCCAAACGGGTATATGTTCACGTAAAAACTAAAGAGAAGCGTTCTCAGAAACTTCTGAGTGATGATTGCATTCAAGTCACACAGTTGAACCCTCCTTTTGATTGAGCAGTTTTGAAACTGTCTTTTTGTAGAATCTGTAAGTGGATGCGTGGACCTCTTTGAAGATTTCTTTGGAAACGGGAATATTTCCACAGAAAAACTAAACTGAAGCATTCTCAGAAACTGCTTTGTGATGTTTGTGTTCGAGTCACAGAGTTTAACATTGCTTTTCACAGAGCAGTTTTGAAATATTCTTTTGGCAGAATCTGCAAGTGGACATTTGGAGCGCATTCAGGCCTGTGGTGGAAAAGGCCTGAAAGCCTTTTCCTTTATCTTCACAGAAAGACGAGAGAGAAGCATTGTCAGAAACTTCTTTGTGATGATTGCATTCAACTCACAGAGTTGAAGATTCCTTTTGAAACAGCAGTTTCGAAACACTCTTTCTGTGGGATCCGCAAGGGGATATTTGGACCTCTTTGAAGATTTCGTTGGAAACGGGATAATCTTCACTTAAAGCTAAACGGAAGCATTCTCAGAAACTTCTTTGGGATGTTTGCATTCACCTCACAGAGTTGAACTTTCCCTTTGATAGCGCAGCTTCGACACACTTTTTCTACAATGTGCAAGTGGATATTTAGCGGGCTTGGAGGACTGTGTTGGAAAAGGAAATATCTTCTCCTAAAAACGACATAGAAGCATTCTCAGAAACTGCTCTGTGATGATTGCATTCAACTCCCAGAGTTGAACATTCCTTTTGATAGAGCAGTTTGCAAACACTCTTTTTGTAGAATCTGCAAGTGGAGATTTGGACCACTTTGAGGCCTGTGGTAGTAAAGGAAAGAACTTCATATAAAAACTAGAAGGTAGCACCCTCAGAAAATTCTTTGTGACGATGGAGTTTAACTCAGAGAGCTGAACATTCGTTATGATGGAGCAGTTTCCAAACACACGTTTTGTAGAATCTGCAAGGGGATATTTGGACCTCTCTGAGGATTTCGTTGGAAACGGGATCAACTTCCCATAACTGAACGGAAGCAAACTCAGAACATTCTTTGTGATGTTTGTATTCAACTCACAGAGTTGAACCTTCCTTTGATAGTTGAAGTTTGCAACACCCTTGTAGTAGAATCTGCAAGTGTATATTTTGACCACTTTGTAGCCTTCGTTTGAAACGTCTATATCTTCACCTCAAACCTAGACAGAAGCATTCTCAGAAAGTTTTCTGCGATGACTGCATTCAACTCACAGAGTTGAACAATCCTTTTGATGGAGCAGTTTTGAAACCCTCTTTCTTTGGAATCTGCAAGGGGATATGTGGACCTCTTTGAAGATTTCACTGGAAACGGGATCATCTTCACATAAGAACTAAACAGAAGCATTCTCGGAAACTACTTTGTGAGGTTTGTATTCAACTCCCAGAGTTGAAATTTCCTTTTGAAAGAGCAGCTATGAAACACTCTTTTTCGAGAATCTGCAAGTGGACGTTTGGAGGGCTTTGAGGCCTGTGGTGGAAAAGGAAATATCTTCACATAAAAACTAGATAGAAGCATTCTCACAAACGACTTTGTGAGGATGGCATTCAAATCATGGAGTTGAACAATCCTATTGATAGAGCAGATTGGAATCACTCTTTTTGTAGAATCTGCAAATGGAGATTTGGACTGCTTTGAGGCCTACGGTAGTATAGGAAGGAACTTCATATAAAAGGCAAACGGAAGCATTCTCAGAATATTCTTTGTGATGATGGAGTTTCACTCACAGAGCTGAACATGCCTTTTGATGGAGCAGTTTCCAAATACACTTTTGGTAGAATCTGCAGGTGGATATTTGGACCTCTCTGAGGATTTCGTTGGAAACGGGAATAATTTCCCATAACTAAACACAAACACGCTGAGAAAGTTCTTCATGTTGAATGCATTGAACTCGCAGAGATGAACCTGCCTTTGAGAGTTCAGGTTCGAAACACTCTTTCTGTAGAATCTGCAAGTGGATATTTGGACCACTGGGTGGCCTTCGTTCGAAACGGGTATATGTTCACGTAAAAACTAAAGAGAAGCATTCTCAGAAACTTCTGAGTGATGATTGCATTCAAGTCACACGGTTGAACCCTCCTTTTGATTGAGCAGTTTTGAAACTGTCTTTTTGTAGAATCTGTAAGTGGATGCGTGGACCTCTTTGAAGATTTCTTTCGAAACGGGAATATTTCCACAGAAAAACTAAACTGAAGCATTCTCAGAAACTGCTTTGTGATGTTTGTGTTCGAGCCACAGAGTTTAACATTGCTTTTCATAGAGCAGTTTTGAAATATTCTTTTGGCAGAATCTGCAAGTGGACATTTGGAGCGCTTTCAGGCCTGTGGTGGAAAAGGCCTGAAAGCCTTTTCCTTTATCTTCACAGAAAGACGAGAGAGAAGCATTGTCAGAAACTTCTTTGTGATGATTGCATTCAACTCACAGAGTTGAAGATTCCTTTTGAAACAGCAGTTTCGAAACACTCTTTCTGTGGGATCCGCAAGGGGATATTTGGACCTCTTTGAAGATTTCGTTGGAAACGGGATAATCTTCACCTAAAAGCTAAACGGAAGCATTCTCAGAAACTTCTTTGGGATGTTTGCATTCACCTCACAGAGTTGAACTTTCCCTTTGATAGCGCAGCTTCGACACACTTTTTCTACAATGTGCAAGTGGATATTTAGCGGGCTTGGAGGACTGTGTTGGAAAAGGAAATATCTTCTCCTAAAAACGACATAGAAGCATTCTCAGAAACTGCTCTGTGATGATTGCATTCAACTCCCAGAGTTGAACATTCCTTTTGATAGAGCAGTTTGCAAACACTCTTTTTGTAGAATCTGCAAGTGGAGATTTGGACCGCTTTGAGGCCTGTGGTAGTAAAGGAAAGAACTTCATATAAAAACTAGACGGTAGCACTCTCAGAAAATTCTTTGTGACGATGGAGTTTAACTCAGAGAGCTGAACATTCGTTATGATGGAGCAGTTTCCAAACACACGTTTTGTAGAATCTGCAAGGGGATATTTGGACCTCTCTGAGGATTTCGTTGGAAACGGGATCAACTTCCCATAACTGAACGGAAGCAAACTCAGAACATTCTTTGTGATGTTTGTATTCAACTCACAGAGTTGAACCTTCCTTTGATAGTTCAGGTTTGCAACACCCTTGTAGTAGAATCTGCAAGTGTATATTTTGACCACTTTGTAGCCTTCGTTTGAAACGTCTATATCTTCACATCAAACCTAGAAAGAAGCATTCTCAGAAAGTTTTCTGCGATGACTGCATTCAACTCACAGAGTTGAACAATCCTTTTGATGGAGCAGTTTTGAAACCCTCTTTCTTTGGAATCTGCAAGGGGATATGTGGACCTCTTTGAAGATTTCACTGGAAACGGGATCATCTTCACATAAGAACTAAACAGAAGCATTCTCGGAAACTACTTTGTGATGTTTGTATTCAACTCCCAGAGTTGAACTTTCCTTTTGAAAGAGCAGCTATGAAACACTCTTTTTCGAGAATCTGCAAGCGGACGTTTGGAGGGCTTTGAGGCCTGTGGTGGAAAAGGAAATATCTTCACATAAAAACTAGATAGAAGCATTCTCAGAAACGACTTTGTGAGGATGGCATTCAACTCATGGAGTTGAACAATCCTATTGATAGAGCAGATTGGAATCACTCTTTTTGTAGAATCTGCAAATGGAGATTTGGACTGCTTTGAGGCCTACGGTAGTATAGGAAGGAACTTCATATAAAAGGCAAACGGAAGCATTCTCAGAATATTCTTTGTCATGATGGAGTTTCACTCACAGAGCTGAACATGCCTTTTGATGGAGCAGTTTCCAAATACACTTTTGGTAGAATCTGCAGGTGGATATTTGGACCTGTCGGAGGATTTCGTTGGAAACGGGAATAATTTCCCATAACTAAACACAAACACTCTGAGAAAGTTCTTCATGATGAATGCATTTAACTCGCAGAGATGAACCTGCCTTTGAGAGTTCAGGTTCGAAACACTCTTTCTGTAGAATCTGCAAGTGGATATTTGGACCACTGGCTGGCCTTCGTTCGAAACGGGTATATGTTCACGTAAAAACTAAAGAGAAGCATTCTCAGAAACTTCTGAGTGATGATTGCATTCAAGTCACACAGTTGAACCCGCCTTTTGATTGAGCAGTTTTGAAACTGTCTTTTTGTAGAATCTGTAAGTGGATTCGTGGACCTCTTGGAAGATTTCTTTGGAAACGGGAATATTTCCACAGAAAAACTAAACTGAAGCATTCTCAGAAACTGCTTTGTGATGTTGGTGTTCGAGCCGCAGAGTTTAACATTGCTTTTCATAGAGCACTTTTGAAATATTCTTTTGGCAGAATCTGCAAGTGGACATTTAGAGCGTTTTCAGGCCTGTGGTGGAAAAGGCCTGAAAGCCTTTTCCTTTATCTTCACAGAAAGACGAGAGAGAAGCATTGTCAGAAACTTCTTTGTGATGATTGCATTCAACTCACAGAGTTGAAGATTCCTTTTGAAACAGCAGTTTCGAAACACTCTTTCTGTGGGATCCGCAAGGGGATATTTGGACCTCTTTGAAGATTTCGTTGGAAACGGGATAATCTTCACCTAAAAGCTAAACGGAAGCATTCTCAGAAACTTCTTTGGGATGTTTGCATTCACCTCACAGAGTTGAACTTTCTCTTTGATAGCGCAGCTTTGACACACTTTTTCTACAATGTGCAAGTGGATATTTAGCGGGCTTGGAGGACTGTGTTGGAAAAGGAAATATCTTCTCCTAAAAACGACATAGAAGCATTCTCAGAAACTGCTCTGTGATGATTGCATTCAACTCCCAGAGTTGAACATTCCTTTTGATAGAGCAGTTTGCAAACACTCTTTTTGTAGAATCTGCAAGTGGAGATTTGGACCGCTTTGAGGCCTGTGGTAGTAAAGGAAAGAACTTCATATAAAAACTAGACGGTAGCACTCTCAGACAATTCTTTGTGACGATGGAGTTTAACTCAGAGAGCTGAACATTCGTTATGATGGAGCAGTTTCCAAACACACGTTTTGCAGAATCTGCAAGGGGATATTTGGACCT
This sequence comes from Homo sapiens, assembly GCF_000001405.40. NCBI lineage: Eukaryota > Metazoa > Chordata > Mammalia > Primates > Hominidae > Homo > Homo sapiens. Next base: position 58,711,662 of record NC_000023.11, read on the forward strand.
CTCTGAGGATTTCGTTGGAAACGGGATCAACTTCCCATAACTGAACGGAAGCAAACTCAGAACATTCTTTGTGATGTATGTTTGTATTCAACTCACAGAGTTGAACCTTCCTTTGAGAGTTCAGGTTTGCAACACCCTTGTAGTAGAATCTGCAAGAGTATATTTTGACCACTTTGTAGCCTTCGTTTGAAACGTCTATATCTTCACATCAAACCTAGACAGAAGCATTCTCAGAAAGTTTTCTGCGATGACTGCATTCAACTCACAGAGTTGAACAATCCTTTTGATGGAGCAGTTTTGAAACCCTCTTTCTTTGGAATCTGCAAGGGGATATGTGGACCTCTTTGAAGATTTCACTGGAAACGGGATCATCTTCACATAAGAACTAAACAGAAGCATTCTCGGAAACTACTTTGTGATGTTTGTATTCAACTCCCAGAGTTGAACTTTCCTTTTGAAAGAGCAGCTATGAAACACTCTTTTTCGAGAATCTGCAAGCGGACGTTTGGAGGGCTTTGAGGCCTGTGGTGGAAAAGGAAATATCTTCACATAAAAACTAGATAGAAGCATTCTCAGAAACGACTTTGTGAGGATGGCATTCAACTCATGGAGTTGAACAATCCTATTGATAGAGCAGATTGGAATCACTCTTTTTGTAGAATCTGCAAATGGAGATTTGGACTGCTTTGAGGCCTACGGTAGTATAGGAAGGAACTTCATATAAAAGGCAAACGGAAGCATTCTCAGAATATTCTTTGTCATGATGGAGTTTCACTCACAGAGCTGAACATGCCTTTTGATGGAGCAGTTTCCAAATACACTTTTGGTAGAATCTGCAGGTGGATATTTGGACCTGTCGGAGGATTTCGTTGGAAACGGGAATAATTTCCCATAACTAAACACAAACACTCTGAGAAAGTTCTTCATGATGAATGCATTTAACTCGCAGAGATGAACCTGCCTTTGAGAGTTCAGGTTCGAAACACTCTTTCTGTAGAATCTGCAAGTGGATATTTGGACCACTGGCTGGCCTTCGTTCGAAACGGGTATATGTTCACGTAAAAACTAAAGAGAAGCATTCTCAGAAACTTCTGAGTGATGATTGCATTCAAGTCACACAGTTGAACCCGCCTTTTGATTGAGCAGTTTTGAAACTGTCTTTTTGTAGAATCTGTAAGTGGATTCGTGGACCTCTTGGAAGATTTCTTTGGAAACGGGAATATTTCCACAGAAAAACTAAACTGAAGCATTCTCAGAAACTGCTTTGTGATGTTGGTGTTCGAGCCGCAGAGTTTAACATTGCTTTTCATAGAGCACTTTTGAAATATTCTTTTGGCAGAATCTGCAAGTGGACATTTAGAGCGTTTTCAGGCCTGTGGTGGAAAAGGCCTGAAAGCCTTTTCCTTTATCTTCACAGAAAGACGAGAGAGAAGCATTGTCAGAAACTTCTTTGTGATGATTGCATTCAACTCACAGAGTTGAAGATTCCTTTTGAAACAGCAGTTTCGAAACACTCTTTCTGTGGGATCCGCAAGGGGATATTTGGACCTCTTTGAAGGTTTCGTTGGAAACGGGATAATCTTCACCTAAAAGCTAAACGGAAGCATTCTCAGAAACTTCTTTGGGATGTTTGCATTCACCTCTCAGAGTTGAACTTTCCCTTTGATAGCGCAGCTTTGACACACTTTTTCTACAATGTGCAAGTGGCTATTTAGCGGGCTTGGAGGACTGTGTTGGAAAAGGAAATATCTTCTCCTAAAAACGACATAGAAGCATTCTCAGAAACTGCTCTGTGATGATTGCATTCAACTCCCAGAGTTGAACATTCCTTTTGATAGAGCAGTTTGCAAACACTCTTTTTGTAGAATCTGCAAGTGGAGATTTGGACCGCTTTGAGGACTGGGGTAGTAAAGGAAAGAGCTTCATATAAAAAACAGACGGTAGCACTCTCAGAAAATTCTTTGTGACGATGGAGTTTAACTCAGGGAGCTGAACATTCGTTATGATGGAGCAGTTTCCGAACACACGTTTTGTAGAATCTGCAAGGGGATATTTGGACCTCTCTGAGGATTTCGTTGGAAACGGGATCAACTTCCCATAACTGAACGGAAGCAAACTCAGAACATTCTTTGTGATGTTTGTATTCAACTCCCAGAGTTGAAATTTCCTTTTGAAAGAGCAGCTATGAAACACTCTTTTTCGAGAATCTGCAAGTGGACGTTTGGAGGGCTTTGAGGCCTGTGGTGGAAAAGGAAATATCTTCACATAAAAACTAGATAGAAGCATTCTCAGAAACTACTTTGTGAGGATGGCATTCAACTCATGGAGTTGAACAATCCTATTGATAGAGCAGATTGGAATCACTCTTTTTGTAGAATCTGCAAATGGAGATTTGGACTGCTTTGAGGCCTACGGTAGTATAGGAAGGAACTTCATATAAAAGGCAAACGGAAGCATTCTCAGAATATTCTTTGTGATGATGGAGTTTCACTCACAGAGCTGAACATGCCTTTTGATGGAGCAGTTTCCAAATACACTTTTGGTAGAATCTGCAGGTGGATATTTGGAGCTCTCTGAGGATTTCGTTGGAAAAGGGAATAATTTCCCATAACTAAACACAAACACTCTGAGAAAGTTCTTCATGATGAATGCATTTAACTCGCAGAGATGAACCTGCCTTTGAGAGTTCAGGTTCGAAACACTCTTTCTGTAGAATCTGCAAGTGGATATTTGGACCACTGGCTGGCCTTCGTTCGAAACGGGTATATGTTCACGTAAAAACTAAAGAGAAGCATTCTCAGAAACTTCTGAGTGATGATTACATTCAAGTCACACAGTTGAACCCTCCTTTTGATTGAGCAGTTTTGAAACTGTCTTTTTGTAAAATCTGTAAGTGGATACGTGGACCTCTTTGAATATTTCTTTGGAAACGGGAATATTTCCACAGAAAAACTAAACTGAAGCATTCTCAGAAACTGCTATGTGATGTTTGTGTTCGAGCCACAGAGTTTAACATTGCTTTTCATAGAGCAGTTTTGAAATATTCTTTTGGCAGAATCTGCAAGTGGACATTTGGAGCGCTTTCAGGCCTGTGGTTGAAAAGGCCTGAAAGCCTTTTCCTTTATCTTCACAGAAAGACGAGAGAGAAGCATTGTCAGAAACTTCTTTGTGATGATTGCATTCAACTCACAGAGTTGAAGATTCCTTTTGAAACAGCAGTTTCGAAACACTCTTTCTGTGGGATCCGCAAGGGGATATTTGGACCTCTTTGAAGGTTTCGTTGGAAACGGGATAATCTTCACCTAAAAGCTAAACGGAAGCACTCTCAGAAACTTCTTTGGGATGTTTGCATTCACCTCACAGAGTTGAACTTTCCCTTTGATAGCGCAGCTTTGACACACTTTTTCTACAATGTGCAAGTGGATATTTAGCGGGCGTGGAGGACTGTGTTGGAAAAGGAAATATCTTCTCCTAAAAACGACATAGAAGCATTCTCAGAAACTGCTCTGTGATGATTGCATTCAACTCCCAGGGTTGAACATTCCTTTTGATAGAGCAGTTTGCAAACACTCTTTTTGTAGAATCTGCAAGTGGAGATTTGGACCGCTTTGAGGCCTATGGTAGTAAAGGAAAGAACTTCATATAAAAACCAGACGGTAGCACTCTCAGAAAATTCTTTGTGACGATGGAGTTTAACTCAGGGAGCTGAACATTCGTTATGATGGAGCAGTTTCCAAACACACGTTTTGTAGAATCTGCAAGGGGATATTTGGACCTCTCTGAGGATTTCGTTGGAAACGGGATCAACTTCCCATAACTGAACGGAAGCAAACTCAGAACATTCTTTGTGATGTTTGTATTCAACTCACAGAGTTGAACCTTCCTTTGATAGTTCAGGTTTGCAACACCCTTGTAGTAGAATCTGCAAGTGTATATTTTGACCACTTTGTAGCCTTCGTTTGAAATATCTATATCTTCACATCAAACATAGACAGAAGCATTCTCAGAAAGTTTTCTGCGATGACTGCATTCAACTCACAGAGTTGAACAATCCTTCTGATGGAGCAGTTTTGAAACCCTCTTTCTTTGGAATCTGCAAGGGGATATGTGGACCTCTTTGAAGATTTCACTGGAAACGGGATCATCTTCACATAAAAACTAAACAGAAGCATTCTCGGAAACTATTTTGTGATGTTTGTATTCAACTCCCAGAGTTGAACTTTCCTTTTGAAAGAGCAGCTATGAAACACTCTTTTTCGAGAATCTGCAAGTGGACGTTTGGAGGGCTTTGAGGCCTGTGGTGGAAAAGGAAATATCTTCACACAAAAACCAGATAGAAGCATTCTCAGAAACTACTTTGTGAGGATGGCATTCAACTCATGGAGTTGAACAATCCTATTGATAGAGCAGATTGGAATCACTCTTTTTGTAGAATCTGCAAATGGAGATTTGGACTGCTTTGAGGCCTACGGTAGTACAGGAAGGAACTTCATATAAAAGACAAACGGAAGCATTCTCAGAATATTCTTTGTGATGATGGAGTTTCACTCACAGAGCTGAACATGCCTTTTGATGGAGCAGTTTCCAAATACACTTTTGGTAGAATCTGCAGGTGGATATTTGGAGCTCTCTGAGGATTTCTTTGGAAACGGGAATAATTTCCCATAACTAAACACAAACACTCTGAGAAAGTTCTTCATGATGAATGCATTTAACTCGCAGAGATGAACCTGCCTTTGAGAGTTCAGGTTCGAAACACTCTTTCTGTAGAATCTGCAAGTGGATATTTGGACCACTGGGTGGCCTTCGTTCGAAACGGGTATATGTTCACGTAAAAACTAAAGAGAAGCATTCTCAGAAACTTCTGAGTGATGATTGCATTCAAGTCACACAGTTGAACCCTCCTTTTGATGGAGCAGTTTTGAAACTGTCTTTTTGTAGAATCTGTAAGTGGATACGTGGACCTCTTTGAAGATTTCTTTGGAAACGGGAATATTTCCACAGAAAAACTAAACTGAAGCATTCTCAGAAACTGCTTTGTGATGTTTGTGTTCGAGCCACAGAGTTTAACATTGCTTTTCATAGAGCAGTTTTGAAATATTCTTTTGGCAGAATCTGCAAGTGGACATTTGGAGCGCTTTCAGGCCTGTGGTGGAAAAGGCCTGAAAGCCTTTTCCTTTATCTTCACAGAAAGACGAGAGAGAAGCATTGTCAGAAACTTCTTTGGGATGATTGCATTCAACTCACAGAGTTGAAGATTCCTTTTGAAACAGCAGTTTCGAAACACTCTTTCTGTGGGATCCGCAAGGGGATATTTGGACCTCTTTGAAGGTTTCGTTGGAAACGGGATAATCTTCACCTAAAAGCTAAACGGAAGCATTCTCAGAAACTTCTTTGGGATGTTTGCATTCACCTCACAGAGTTGAACTTTCCCTTTGATAGCGCAGCTTTGACACACTTTTTCTACAATGTGCAAGTGGCTATTTAGCGGGCTTGGAGGACTGTGTTGGAAAAGGAAATATCTTCTCCTAAAAACGACATAGAAGCATTCTCAGAAACTGCTCTGTGATGATTGCATTCAACTCCCAGAGTTGAACATTCCTTTTGATAGAGCAGTTTGCAAACACTCTTTTTGTAGAATCTGCAAGTGGAGATTTGGACCGCTTTGAGGCCTGTGGTAGTGAAGGAAAGAACTTCATATAAAAACCAGACGGTAGCACTATCAGAAAATTCTTTGTGACGATGGAGTTTAACTCAGGGAGCTGAACATTCGTTATGATGGAGCAGTTTCCAAACACACGTTTTGTAGAATCTGTGAGGGGATATTTGGACCTCTCTGAGGATTTCGTTGGAAACGGGATCAACTTCCCATAACTGAACGGAAGCAAACTCAGAACATTCTTTGTGATGTTTGTATTCAACTCACAGAGTTGAACCTTCCTTTGATAGTTCAGGTTTGCAACACCCTTGTAGTAGAATCTGCAAGTGTATATTTTGACCACTTTGTAGCCTTCGTTTGAAACGTCTATATCTTCACATCAAACCTAGACAGAAGCATTCTCAGAAAGTTTTCTGGGATGACTGCATTCAACTCACAGAGTTGAACAATCCTTCTGATGGAGCAGTTTTGAAACCCTCTTTCTTTGGAATCTGCAAGGGGATATGTGGACCTCTTTGAAGATTTCACTGGAAACGGGATCATCTTCACATAAAAACTAAACAGAAGCATTCTCGGAAACTATTTTGTGATGTTTGTATTCAACTCCCAGAGTTGAACTTTCCTTTTGAAAGAGCAGCTATGAAACACTCTTTTTCGAGAATCTGCAAGTGGACGTTTGGAGGGCTTTGAGGCCTGTGGTGGAAAAGGAAATATCTTCACACAAAAACCAGATAGAAGCATTCTCAGAAACGACTTTGTGAGGATGGCATTCAACTCATGGAGTTGAACAATCCTATTGATAGAGCAGATTGGAATCACTCTTTTTGTAGAATCTGCAAATGGAGATTTGGACTGCTTTGAGGCCTACGGTCGTATAGGAAGGAACTTCATATAAAAGGCAAACGGAAGCATTCTCAGAATATTCTTTGTGATGATGGAGTTTCACTCACAGAGCTGAACATGCCTTTTGATGGAGCAGTTTCCAAATACACTTTTGGTAGAATCTGCAGGTGGATATTTGGACCACTCTGAGGATTTCGTTGGAAACGGGAATAATTTCCCATAACTAAGCACAAACACTCTGAGAAAGTTCTTCATGATGAATGCATTTAACTCGCAGAGATGAACCTGCCTTTGAGAGTTCAGGTTCGAAACACTCTTTCTGTATAATCTGCAAGTGGATATTTGGACCACTGGGTGGCCTTCGTTCGAAACGGGTATATGTTCACGTAAAAACTAAAGAGAAGCATTCTCAGAAACTTCTGAGTGATGATTGCATTCAAGTCACACAGTTGAACCCTCCTTTTGATGGAGCAGTTTTGAAACTGTCTTTTTGTAGAATCTGTAAGTGGATACGTGGACCTCTTTGAAGATTTCTTTGGAAACGGGAATATTTCCACAGAAAAACTAAACTGAAGCATTCTCAGAAACCGCTTTGTGATGTTTGTGTTCGAGCCACAGAGTTTAACATTGCTTTTCATAGAGCAGTTTTGAAATATTCTTTTGGCAGAATCTGCAAGTGGACATTTGGAGCGCTTTCAGGCCTGTGGTGGAAAAGGCCTGAAAGCCTTTTCCTTTATCTTCACAGAAAGACGAGAGAGAAGCATTGTCAGAAACTTCTTTGTGATGATTGCATTCAACTCACAGAGTTGATTTTCCTTTTGAAACAGCAGTTTCGAAACACTCTTTCTGTGGGATCCGCAAGGGGATATTTGGACCTCTTTGAAGGTTTCGTTGGAAACGGGATAATCTTCACCTAAAAGCTAAACGGAAGCATTCTCAGAAACTTCTTTGGGATGTTTGCATTCACCTCACAGAGTTGAACTTTCCCTTTGATAGCGCAGCTTTGACACACTTTTTCTACAATGTGCAAGTGGCTATTTAGCGGGCTTGGAGGACTGTGTTGGAAAAGGAAATATCTTCTCCTAAAAACGACATAGAAGCATTCTCAGAAACTGCTCTGTGATGATTGCATTCAACTCCCAGAGTTGAACATTCCTTTTGATAGAGCAGTTTGCAAACACTCTTTTTGTAGAATCTGCAAGTGGAGATTTGGACCGCTTTGAGGCCTGTGGTAGTGAAGGAAAGAACTTCATATAAAAACCAGACGGTAGCACTCTCAGAAAATTCTTTGTGACGATGGAGTTTAACTCAGGGAGCTGAACATTCGTTATGATGGAGCAGTTTCCAAACACACGTTTTGTAGAATCTGCAAGGGGATATTTGGACCTCTCTGAGGATTTCGTTGGAAACGGGATCAACTTCCCATAACTGAACGGAAGCAAACTCAGAACATTCTTTGTGATGTTTGTATTCAACTCACAGAGTTGAACCTTCCTTTGATAGTTCAGGTTTGCAACACCCTTGTAGTAGAATCTGCAAGTGTATATTTTGACCACTTTGTAGCCTTCGTTTGAAACGTCTATATCTTCACATCAAACCTAGACAGAAGCATTCTTAGAAAGTTTTCTGCGATGACTGCATTCAACTCACAGAGTTGAACAATCCTTCTGATGGAGCAGTTTTGAAACCCTCTTTCTTTGGAATCTGCAAGGGGATATGTGGACCTCTTTGAAGATTTCACTGGAAACGGGATCATCTTCACATAAAAACTAAATATAAGCATTCTCGGAAACTACTTTGGGATGTTTGTATTCAACTCCCAGAGTTGAACTTTCCTTTTGAAAGAGCAGCTATGAAACACTCTTTTTCGAGAATCTGCAAGTGGACGTTTGGAGGGCTTTGAGGCCTGTGGTGGAAAAGGAAATATCTTCACATAAAAACTAGATAGAAGCATTCTCACAAACGACATTGTGAGGATGGAATTCAACTCATGGAGTTGAACAATCCTATTGATAGAGCAGATTGGAATCACTCTTTTTGTAGAATCTGCAAATGGAGATTTGGACTGCTTTGAGGCCTACGGTAGTATAGGAAGGAACTTCATATAAAAGGCAAACGGAAGCATTCTCAGAATATCCTTTGTGATGATGGAGTTTCACTCACAGAGCTGAACATGCCTTTTGATGGAGCAGTTTCCAAATACACTTTTGGTAGAATCTGCAGGTGGATATTTGGAGCTCTCTGAGGATTTCGTTGGAAACGGGAATAATTTCCCATAACTAAACACAAACACTCTGAGAAAGTTCTTCATGATGAATGCATTTAACTCGCAGAGATGAACCTGCCTTTGAGAGTTCAGGTTCGAAACACTCTTTCTGTAGAATCTGCAAGTGGATATTTGGACCACTGGGTGGCCTTCGTTCGAAACGGGTATATGTTCACATAAAAACTAAAAAGAAGCATTCTCAGAAACTTCTGAGTGATGATTGCATTCAAGTCACATAGTTGAACCCTCCTTTTGATGGAGCAGTTTTGAAACTGTCTTTTTGTAGAATCTGTAAGTGGATACGTGGACCTCTTTGAAGATTTCTTTGGAAACGGGAATATTTCCACGGAAAAACTAAACTGAAGCATTCTCAGAAACTGCTTTGTGATGTTTGTGTTCGAGCCACAGAGTTTAACATTGCTTTTCATAGAGCAGTTTTGAAATATTCTTTTCACAGAATCTGCAAGTGGACATTTGGAGCGCTTTCAGGCCTGTGGTGGAAAAGGCCTGAAAGCCTTTTCCTTTATCTTCACAGAAAGACGAGAGAGAAGCATTGTCAGAAACTTCTTTGTGATGATTGCATTCAACTCACAGAGTTGAAGATTCCTTTTGAAACAGCAGTTTCGAAACACTCTTTCTGTGGGATCCGCAAGGGGATATTTGGACCTCTTTGAAGGTTTCGTTGGAAACGGGATAATCTTCACCTAAAAGCTAAACGGAAGCATTCTCAGAAACTTCTTTGGGATGTTTGCATTCACCTCACAGAGTTGAACTTTCCCTTTGATAGCGCAGCTTTGACACACTTTTTCTACAATGTGCAAGTGGCTATTTAGCGGGCTAGGAGGACTGTGTTGGAAAAGGTAATATCTTCTCCTAAAAACGACATAGAAGCATTCTCAGAAACTGCTCTGTGATGATTGCATTCAACTCCCAGAGTTGAACATTCCTTTTGATAGAGCAGTTTGCAAACACTCTTTTTGTAGAATCTGCAAGTGGAGATTTGGATCGCTTTGAGGCCTGTGGTAGTGAAGGAAAGAGCTTCATATAAAAACCAGACGGTAGCACTCTCAGAAAATTCTTTGTGACGATGGAGTTTAACTCAGGGAGCTGAACATTCGTTATGATGGAGCAGTTTCCAAACACACGTTTTGTAGAATCTGCAAGGGGATATTTGGACCTCTCTGAGGATTTCGTTGGAAACGGGATCAACTTCCCATAACTGAACGGAAGCAAACTCAGAACATTCTTTGTGATGTTTGTATTCAACTCACAGAGTTGAACCTTCCTTTGATAGTTCAGGTTTGCAACACCCTTGTAGTAGAATCTGCAAGTGTATATTTTGACCACTTTGTAGCCTTCGTTTGAAACGTCTATATCTTCACATCAAACCTAGACAGAAGCATTCTCAGAAAGTTTTCTGCGATGACTGCATTCAACTCACAGAGTTGAACAATCCTTCTGATGGAGCAGTTTTGAAACCCTCTTTCTTTGGAATCTGCAAGGGGATATGTGGACCTCTTTGAAGATTTCACTGGAAACGGGATCATCTTCACATAAAAACTAAACAGAAGCATTCTCGGAAACTACTTTGTGATGTTTGTATTCAACTCCCAGAGTTGAACTTTCCTTTTGAAAGAGCAGCTATGAAACACTCTTTTTCGAGAATCTGCAAGTGGACGTTTGGAGGGCTTTGAGGCCTGTGGTGGAAAAGGAAATATCTTCACATAAAAACTAGATAGAAGCATTCTCAGAAACGACTTTGTGAGGATGGCATTCAACTCATGGAGTTGAACAATCCTATTGATAGAGCAGATTGGAATCACTCTTTTTGTAGAATCTGCAAATGGAGATTTGGACTGCATTGAGGCCTACGGTCGTATAGGAAGGAACTTCAGATAAAAGGCAAACGGAAGCATTCTCAGAATATTCTTTGTGATGATGGAGTTTCACTCACAGAGCTGAACATGCCTTTTGATGGAGCAGTTTCCAAATACACTTTTGGTAGAATCTGCAGGTGGATATTTGGAGCTCTCTGAGGATTTCGTTGGAAACGGGAATAATTTCCCATAACTAAACACAAACACTCTGAGAAAGTTCTTCATGATGAATGCATTTAACTAACAGAGATGAACCTGCCTTTGAGAGTTCAGGTTCGAAACACTCTTTCTGTAGAATCTGCAAGTGGATATTTGGACCACTGGGTGGCCTTCGTTCGAAACGGGTATATGTTCACGTAAAAACTAAAGAGAAGCATTCTCAGAAACTTCTGAGTGATGATTGCATTCAAGTCACACAGTTGAACCCTCCTTTTGATGGAGCAGTTTTGAAACTGTCTTTTTGTAGAATCTGTAAGTGCATACGTGGACCTCTTTGAAGATTTCTTTGGAAACGGGAATATTTCCACAGAAAAACTAAACTGAAACATTCTCAGAAACCGCTTTGTGATGTTTGTGTTCCAGCCACAGAGTTTAACATTGCTTTTCATAGAGCAGTTTTGAAATATTCTTTTGGCAGAATCTGCAAGTGGACATTTGGAGCGCTTTCAGGCCTGTGGTGGAAAAGGCCTGAAAGCCTTTTCCTTTATCTTCACAGAAAGACGAGAGAGAAGCATTGTCAGAAACTTCTTTGTGATGATTGCATTCAACTCACAGAGTTGAAGATTCCTTTTGAAACAGCAGTTTCGAAACACTCTTTCTGTGGGATCCGCAAGGGGATATTTGGACCTCTTTGAAGGTTTCGTTGGAAACGGGATAATCTTCACCTAAAAGCTAAACGGAAGCATTCTCAGAAACTTCTTTGGGATGTTTGCATTCACCTCACAGAGTTGAACTTTCCCTTTGATAGCGCAGCTTTGACACACTTTTTCTACAATGTGCAAGTGGCTATTTAGCGGGCTTGGAGGATTGTGTTGGAAAAGGAAATATCTTCTCCTAAAAACGACATAGAAGCATTCTCAGAAACTGCTCTGTGATGATTGCATTCAACTCCCAGAGTTGAACATTCCTTTTGATAGAGCAGTTTGCAAACACTCTTTTTGTAGAATCTGCAAGTGGAGATTTGGACCGCTTTGAGGCCTGTGGTAGTGAAGGAAAGAACTTCATATAAAAACCAGACGGTAGCACTCTCAGAAAATTCTTTGTGACGATGGAGTTTAACTCAGGGAGCTGAACATTCGTTATGATGGAGCAGTTTCCAAACACACGTTTTGTAGAATCTGCAAGGGGATATTTGGACCTCTCTGAGGATTTCGTTGGAAACGGGATCAACTTCCCATAACTGAACGGAAGCAAACTCAGAACATTCTTTGTGATGTTTGTATTCAACTCACAGAGTTGAACCTTCCTTTGATAGTTCAGGTTTGCAACACCCTTGTAGTAGAATCTGCAAGTGTATATTTTGACCACTTTGTAGCCTTCGTTTGAAACGTCTATATCTTCACATCAAACCTAGACAGAAGCATTCTCAGAAAGTTTTCTGCGATGACTGCATTCAACTCACAGAGTTGAACAATCCTTCTGATGGAGCAGTTTTGAAACCCTCTTTCTTTGGAATCTGCAAGGGGATATGTGGACCTCTTTGAAGATTTCACTGGAAACCGGATCATCTTCACATAAAAACTAAACAGAAGCATTCTCGGAAACTACTTTGTGATGTTTGTATTCAACTGCCAGAGGTGAACTTTCCTTTTGAAAGAGCAGCTATGAAACACTCTTTTTCGAGAATCTGCAAGTGGACGTTTGGAGGGCTTTGAGGCCTGTGGTGGAAAAGGAAATATCTTCACATAAAAACTAGATAGAAGCATTCTCAGAAACTACTTTGTGAGGATGGCATTCAACTCATGGAGTTGAACAATCCTATTGATAGAGCAGATTGGAATCACTCTTTTTGTAGAATCTGCAAATGGAGATTTGGACTGCTTTGAGGCCTACGGTCGTATAGGAAGGAACTTCATATAAAAGGCAAACGGAAGCATTCTCAGAATATTCTTTGTGATGATGGAGTTTCACTCACAGAGCTGAACATGCCTTTTGATGGAGCAGTTTCCAAATACACTTTTGGTAGAATCTGCAGGTGGATATTTGGAGCTCTTTGAGGATTTCGTTGGAAACGGGAATAATTTCCCATAACTAAACACAAACACGCTGAGAAAGTTCTTCATGATGAATGCATTTAACTCGCAGAGATGAACCTGCCTTTGAGAGTTCAGGTTCGAAACACTCTTTCTGTAGAATCTGCAAGTGGATATTTGGACCACTGGCTGACCTTCGTTCGAAACGGGTATATGTTCACGTAAAAACTAAAGAGAAGCATTCTCAGAAACTTCTGAGTGATGATTGCATTCAAGTCACACAGTTGAACCCTCCTTTTGATGGAGCAGTTTTGAAACTGTCTTTTTGTAGAATCTGTAAGTGGATACGTGGACCTCTTTGAAGATTTCTTTGGAAACGGGAATATTTCCACAGAAAAACTAAACTGAAGCATTCTCAGAAACCGCTTTGTGATGTTTGTGTTCGAGCCGCAGAGTTTAACATTGCTTTTCATAGAGCAGTTTTGAAATATTCTTTTGGCAGAATCTGCAAGTGGACATTTGGAGCGCTTTCAGGCCTGTGGTGGAAAAGGCCTGAAAGCCTTTTCCTTTATCTTCACAGAAAGACGAGAGAGAAGCATTGTCAGAAACTTCTTTGTGATGATTGCATTCAACTCACAGAGTTGAAGATTCCTTTTGAAACAGCAGTTTCGAAACACTCTTTCTGTGGGATCCGCAAGGGGATATTTGGACCTCTTTGAAGGTTTCGTTGGAAACGGGATAATCTTCACCTAAAAGCTAAACGGAAGCATTCTCAGAAACTTCTTTGGGATGTTTGCATTCACCTCACAGAGTTGAACTTTCCCTTTGATAGCGCAGCTTTGACACACTTTTTCTACAATGTGCAAGTGGCTATTTAGCGGGCTTGGAGGACTGTGTTGGAAAAGGAAATATCTTCTCCTAAAAACGACATAGAAGCATTCTCAGAAACTGCTCTGTGATGATTGCATTCAACTCCCAGAGTTGAACATTCCTTTTGATAGAGCAGTTTGCACACACTCTTTTTGTAGAATCTGCAAGTGGAGATTTGGACCGCTTTGAGGCCTGTGGTAGTGAAGGAAAGAACTTCATATAAAAACCAGACGGTAGCACTCTCAGAAAATTCTTTGTGACGATGGAGTTTAACTCAGGGAGCTGAACATTCGTTATGATGGAGCAGTTTCCAAACACACGTTTTGTAGAATCTGCAAGGGGATATTTGGACCTCTCTGAGGATTTCGTTGGAAACGGGATCAACTTCCCATAACTGAACGGAAGCAAACTCAGAACATTCTTTGTGATGTTTGTATTCAACTCACAGAGTTGAACCTTCCTTTGATAGTTCAGGTTTGCAACACCCTTGTAGTAGAATCTGCAAGTGTATATTTTGACCACTTTGTAGCCTTCGTTTGAAACGTCTATATCTTCACATCAAACCTAGACAGAAGCATTCTCAGAAAGTTTTCTGCGATGACTGCATTCAACTCACAGAGTTGAACAATCCTTCTGATGGAGCAGTTTTGAAACCCTCTTTCTTTGGAATCTGCAAGGGGATATGTGGACCTCTTTGAAGATTTCACTGGAAACGGGATCATCTTCACATAAAAACTAAACAGAAGCATTCTCGGAAACTACTTTGTGATGTTTGTATTCAACTCCCAGAGTTGAACTTTCCTTTTGAAAGAGCAGCTATGAAACACTCTTTTTCGAGAATCTGCAAGTGGACGTTTGGAGGGCTTTGAGGCCTGTGCTGGAAAAGGAAATATCTTCACGTAAAAACTAGATAGAAGCATTCTCAGAAACGACTTTGTGAGGATGGCATTCAACTCATGGAGTTGAACAATCCTATTGATAGAGCAGATTGGAATCACTCTTTTTGTAGAATCTGCAAATGGAGATTTGGACTGCTTTGAGGCCTACGGTCGTATAGGAAGGAACTTCATATAAAAGGCAAACGGAAGCATTCTCAGAATATTCTTTGTGATGATGGAGTTTCACTCACAGAGCTGAACATGCCTTTTGATGGAGCAGTTTCCAAATACACTTTTGGTAGAATCTGCAGGTGGATATTTGGAGCTCTCTGAGGATTTCGTTGGAAACGGGAATAATTTCCCATAACTAAACACAAACACTCTGAGAAAGTTCTTCATGATGAATGCATTTAACTCGCAGAGATGAACCTGCCTTTGAGAGTTCAGGTTCGAAACACTCTTTCTGTAGAATCTGCAAGTGGATATTTGGACCACTGGGTGGCCTTCGTTCGAAACGGGTATATGTTCACGTAAAAACTAAAGAGAAGCATTCTCAGAAACTTCTGAGTGATGATTGCATTCAAGTCACACAGTTGAACCCTCCTTTTGATGGAGCAGTTTTGAAACTGTCTTTTTGTAGAATCTGTAAGTGGATACGTGGACCTCTTTGAAGATTTCTTTGGAAACGGGAATATTTCCACAGAAAAACTAAACTGAAGCATTCTCAGAAACCGCTTTGTGATGTTTGTGTTCGAGCCACAGAGTTTAACATTGCTTTTCATAGAGCAGTTTTGAAATATTCTTTTGGCAGAATCTGCAAGTGGACATTTGGAGCGCTTTCAGGCCTGTGGTGGAAAAGGCCTGAAAGCCTTTTCCTTTATCTTCACAGAAAGACGAGAGAGAAGCATTGTCAGAAACTTCTTTGTGATGATTGCATTCAACTCACAGAGTTGAAGATTCCTTTTGAAACAGCAGTTTCGAAACACTCTTTCTGTGGGATCCGCAAGGGGATATTTGGACCTCTTTGAAGGTTTCGTTGGAAACGGGATAATCTTCACCTAAAACCTAAACGGAAGCATTCTCAGAAACTTCTTTGGGATGTTTGCATTCACCTCACAGAGTTGAACTTTCCCTTTGATAGCGCAGCTTTGACACACTTTTTCTACAATGTGCAAGTGGCTATTTAGCGGGCTTGGAGGACTGTGTTGGAAAAGGAAATATCTTCTCCTAAAAACGACATAGAAGCATTCTCAGAAACTGCTCTGTGATGATTGCATTCAACTCCCAGAGTTGAACATTCCTTTTGATAGAGCAGTTTGCAAACACTCTTTTTGTAGAATCTGCAAGTGGAGATTTGGACCGCTTTGAGGTCTGTGGTAGTGAAGGAAAGAGCTTCATATAAAAACCAGACGGTAGCACTCTCAGAAAATTCTTTGTGACGATGGAGTTTAACTCAGGGAGCTGAACATTCGTTATGATGGAGCAGTTTCCAAACACACATTTTGTAGAATCTGCAAGGGGATATTTGGACCTCTCTGAGGATTTCGTTGGAAACGGGATCAACTTCCCATAACTGAACGGAAGCAAACTCAGAACATTCTTTGTGATGTTTGTATTCAACTCACAGAGTTGAACCTTGCTTTGATAGTTCAGGTTTGCAACACCCTTGTAGTAGAATCTGCAAGTGTATATTTTGACCACTTTGTAGCCTTCGTTTGAAACGTCTATATCTTCACATCAAACCTAGACAGAAGCATTCTCAGAAAGTTTTCTGCGATGACTGCATTCAACTCACAGAGTTGAACAATCCTTCTGATGGAGCAGTTTTGAAACCCTCTTTCTTTGGAATCTGCAAGGGGATATGTGGACCTCTTTGAAGATTTCACTGGAAACGGGATCATCTTCACATAAAAACTAAACAGAAACATTCTCGGAAACTACTTTGTGATGTTTGTATTCAACTCCCAGAGTTGAACTTTCCTTTTGAAAGAGCAGCTATGAAACACTCCTTTTCGAGAATCTGCAAGTGGACGTTTGGAGGGCTTTGAGGCCTGTGGTGGAAAAGTTAATATCTTCACATAAAAACTAGATAGAAGCATTCTCAGAAACGACTTTGTGAGGATGGCATTCAACTCATGGAGTTGAACAATCCTATTGATAGAGCAGATTGGAATCACTCTTTTTGTAGAATCTGCAAATGGAGATTTGGACTGCTTTGAGGCCTACGGTCGTATAGGAAGGAACTTCAGATAAAAGGCAAACGGAAGCATTCTCAGAATATTCTTTGTGATGATGGAGTTTCACTCACAGAGCTGAACATGCCTGTTGATGGAGCAGTTTCCAAATACACTTTTGGTAGAATCTGCAGGTGGATATTTGGAGCTCTCTGAGGATTTCGTTGGAAACGGGAATAATTTCCCATAACTAAACACAAACACTCTGAGAAAGTTCTTCATGATGAATGCATTTAACTCGCAGAGATGAACCTGCCTTTGAGAGTTCAGGTTCGAAACACTCTTTCTGTAGAATCTGCAAGTGGATATTTGGACCACTGGGTGGCCTTCGTTCGAAACGGGTATATGTTCACGTAAAAACTAAAGAGAAGCATTCTCAGAAACTTCTGAGTGATGATTGCATTCAAGTCACACAGTTGAACCCTCCTTTTGATGGAGCAGTTTTGAAACTGTCTTTTTGTAGAATCTGTAAGTGGATACGTGGACCTCTTTGAAGATTTCTTTGGAAACGGGAATATTTCCACAGAAAAACTAAACTGAAGCATTCTCAGAAACCGCTTTGTGATGTTTGTGTTCGAGCCACAGAGTTTAACATTGCTTTTCATAGAGCAGTTTTGAAATATTCTTTTCGCAGAATCTGCAAGTGGACATTTGGAGCGCTTTCAGGCCTGTGGTGGCAAAGGCCTGAAAGCCTTTTCCTTTATCTTCACAGAAAGACGAGAGAGAAGCATTGTCAGAAACTTCTTTTTGATGATTGCATTCAACTCACAGAGTTGAAGATTCCTTTTGAAACAGCAGTTTCGAAACACTCTTTCTGTGGGATCCGCAAGGGGATATTTGGACCTCTTTGAAGGTTTCGTTGGAAACGGGATAATCTTCACCTAAAAGCTAAACGGAAGCATTCTCAGAAACTTCTTTGGGATGTTTGCATTCACCTCACAGAGTTGAACTTTCCCTTTGATAGCGCAGCTTTGACACACTTTTTCTACAATGTGCAAGTGGCTATTTAGCGGGCTTGGAGGACTGTGTTGGAAAAGGAAATATCTTCTCCTAAAAACGACATAGAAGCATTCTCAGAAACTGCTCTGTGATGATTGCATTCAACTCCCAGAGTTGAACATTCCTTTTGATAGAGCAGTTTGCAAACACTCTTTTTGTAGAATCTGCAAGTGGAGATTTGGACCGCTTTGAGGCCTGTGGTAGTGAAGGAAAGAACTTCATATAAAAACCAGACGGTAGCACTCTCAGAAAATTCTTTGTGACGATGGAGTTTAACTCAGGGAGCTGAACATTCGTTATGATGGAGCAGTTTCCAAACACACGTTTTGTAGAATCTGCGAGGGGATATTTGGACCTCTCTGAGGATTTCGTTGGAAACGGGATCAACTTCCCATAACTGAACGGAAGCAAACTCAGAACATTCTTTGTGATGTTTGTATTCAACTCACAGAGTTGAACCTTCCTTTGATAGTTCAGGTTTGCAACACCCTTGTAGTAGAATCTGCAAGTGTATATTTTGACCACTTTGTAGCTTTCGTTTGAAACGTCTATATCTTCACATCAAACCTAGACAGAAGCATTCTCAGAAAGTTTTCTGCGATGACTGCATTCAACTCACAGAGTTGAACAATCCTTTTGATGGAGCAGTTTTGAAACCCTCTTTCTTTGGAATCTGCAAGGGGATATGTGGACCTCTTTGAAGATTTCACTGGAAACGGGATCATCTTCACATAAAAACTAAACAGAAGCATTCTCGGAAACTATTTTGTGTTGTTTGTATTCAACTCCCAGAGTTGAACTTTCCTTTTGAAAGAGCAGCTATGAAACACTCTTTTTCGAGAATCTGCAAGTGGACGTTTGGAGGGCTTTGAGGCCTGTGGTGGAAAAGGAAATATCTTCACACAAAAACCAGATAGAAGCATTCTCAGAAACTACTTTGTGAGGATGGCATTCAACTCATGGAGTTGAACAATCCTATTGATAGAGCAGATTGGAATCACTCTTTTTGTAGAATCTGCAAATGGAGATTTGGACTGCTTTGAGGCCTACGGTAGTACAGGAATGAAGTTCATATAAAAGGCAAACGGAAGCATTCTCAGAATATTCTTTGTGATGATGGAGTTTCACTCACAGAGCTGAACATGCCTTTTGATGGAGCAGTTTCCAAATACACTTTTGGTAGAATCTGCAGGTGGATATTTGGAGCTCCCTGAGGATTTCGTTGGAAACGGGAATAATTTCCCATAACTAAACACAAACACTCTGAGAAAGTTCTTCATGATGAATGCATTTAACTCGCAGAGATGAACCTGCCTTTGAGAGTTCAGGTTCGAAACACTCTTTCTGTAGAATCTGCAAGTGGATATTTGGACCACTGGGTGGCCTTCGTTCGAAACGGGTATATGTTCACGTAAAAACTAAAGAGAAGCATTCTCAGAAACTTCTGAGTGATGATTGCATTCAAGTCACACAGTTGAACCCTCCTTTTGATGGAGCAGTTTTGAAACTGTCTTTTTGTAGAATCTGTAAGTGGATACGTGGACCTCTTTGAAGATTTCTTTGGAAACGGGAATATTTCCACAGAAATCTAAACTGAAACATTCTCAGAAACCGCTTTGTGATGTTTGTGTTCCAGCCACAGAGTTTAACATTGCTTTTCATAGAGCAGTTTTGAAATATTCTTTTCGCAGAATCTGCAAGTGGACATTTGGAGCGCTTTCAGGCCTGTGGTGGAAAAGGCCTGAAAGCCTTTTCCTTTATCTTCACAGAAAGACGAGAGAGAAGCATTGTCAGAAACTTCTTTGTGATGATTGCATTCAACTCACAGAGTTGAAGATTCCTTTTGAAACAGCAGTTTTGAAACACTCTTTCTGTGGGATCCGCAAGGGGATATTTGGACCTCTTTGAAGGTTTCGTTGGAAACGGGATAATCTTCACCTAAAAGCTAAACGGAAGCATTCTCAGAAACTTCTTTGGGATGTTTGCATTCACCTCACAGAGTTGAACTTTCCCTTTGATAGCGCAGCTTTGACACACTTTTTCTACAATGTGCAAGTGGCTATTTAGTGGGCTTGGAGGACTGTGTTGGAAAAGGAAATATCTTCTCCTAAAAACGACATAGAAGCATTCTCAGAAACTGCTCTGTGATGATTGCATTCAACTCCCAGAGTTGAACATTCCTTTTGATAGAGCAGTTTGCAAACACTCTTTTTGTAGAATCTGCAAGTGGAGATTTGGACCGCTTTGAGGCCTGTGGTAGTGAAGGAAAGAACTTCATATAAAAACCAGACGGTAGCACTCTCAGAAAATTCTTTGTGACGATGGAGTTTAACTCAGGGAGCTGAACATTCGTTTTGATGGAGCAGTTTCCAAACACACGTTTTGTAGAATCTGCGAGGGGATATTTGGACCTCTCTGAGGATTTCGTTGGAAACGGGATCAACTTCCCATAACTGAACGGAAGCAAACTCAGAACATTCTTTGTGATGTTTGTATTCAATTCACAGAGTTGAACCTTCCTTTGATAGTTCAGGTTTGCAACACCCTTGTAGTAGAATCTGCAAGTGTATATTTTGACCACTTTGTAGCCTTCGTTTGAAACGTCTATATCTTCACATCAAACCTAGACAGAAGCATTCTCAGAAAGTTTTCTGCGATGACTGCATTCAACTCACAGAGTTGAACAATCCTTCTGATGGAGCAGTTTTTAAACCCTCTTTCTTTGGAATCTGCAAGGGGATATGTGGACCTCTTTGAAGATTTCACTGGAAACGGGATCATCTTCACATAAAAACTAAACAGAAGCATTCTCGGAAACTATTTTGTGATGTTTGTATTCAACTCCCAGAGTTGAACTTTCCTTTTGAAAGAGCAGCTATGAAACACTCTTTTTCGAGAATCTGCAAGTGGACGTTTGGAGGGCTTTGAGGCCTGTGGTGGAAAAGGAAATATCTTCACACAAAAACCAGATAGAAGCATTCTCAGAAACGACTTTGTGAGGATGGCATTCAACTCATGGAGTTGAACAATCCTATTGATAGAGCAGATTGGAATCACTCTTTTTGTAGAATCTGCAAATGGAGATTTGGACTGCTTTGAGGCCTACGGTAGTACAGGAAGGAACTTCATATAAAAGGCAAACGGAAGCATTCTCAGAATATTCTTTGTGATGATGGAGTTTCACTGACAGAGCTGAACATGCCTTTTGATGGAGCAGTTTCCAAATACACTTTTGGTAGAATCTGCAGGTGGATATTTGGAGCTCTCTGAGGATTTCGTTGGAAACGGGAATAATTTCCCATAACTAAACACAAACACTCTGAGAAAGTTCTTCATGATGAATGCATTTAACTCGCAGAGATGAACCTGCCTTTGAGAGTTCAGGTTCGAAACACTCTTTCTGTAGAATCTGCAAGTGGATATTTGGACCACTGGCTGGCCTTCGTTCGAAACGGGTATATGTTCACGTAAAAACTAAAGAGAAGCATTCTCAGAAACTTCTGAGTGATGATTGCATTCAAGTCACACAGTTGAACCCTCCTTTTGATGGAGCAGTTTTGAAACTGTCTTTTTGTAGAATCTGTAAGTGGATACGTGGACCTCTTTGAAGATTTCTTTGGAAACGGGAATATTTCCACAGAAAAACTAAACTGAAGCATTCTCAGAAACTGCTTTGTGATGTTTGTGTTCGAGCCACAGAGTTTAACATTGCTTTTCATAGAGCAGTTTTGAAATATTCTTTTGGCAGAATCTGCAAGTGGACATTTGGAGCGCTTTCAGGCCTGTGGTGGAAAAGGCCTGAAAGCCTTTTCCTTTATCTTCACAGAAAGACGAGAGAGAAGCATTGTCAGAAACTTCTTTGTGATGATTGCATTCAACTCACAGAGTTGAAGATTCCTTTTGAAACAGCAGTTTCGAAACACTCTTTCTGTGGGATCCGCAAGGGGATATTTGGACCTCTTTGAAGGTTTCGTTGGAAACGGGATAATCTTCACCTAAAAGCTAAACGGAAGCATTCTCAGAAACTTCTTTGGGATGTTTGCATTCACCTCACAGAGTTGAACTTTCCCTTTGATAGCGCAGCTTTGACACACTTTTTCTACAATGTGCAAGTGGCTATTTAGCGGGCTTGGAGGACTGTGTTGGAAAAGGAAATATCTTCTCCTAAAAACGACATAGAAGCATTCTCAGAAACTGCTCTGTGATGATTGCATTCAACTCCCAGAGTTGAACATTCCTTTTGATAGAGCAGTTTGCAAACACTCTTTTTGTAGAATCTGCAAGTGGAGATTTGGACCGCTTTGAGGCCTGTGGTAGTGAAGGAAAGAACTTCATATAAAAACCAGACGGTAGCACTCTCAGAAAATTCTTTGTGACGATGGAGTTTAACTCAGGGAGCTGAACATTCGTTATGATGGAGCAGTTTCCAAACACACGTTTTGTAGAATCTGCAAGGGGATATTTGGACCTCTCTGAGGATTTCGTTGGAAACGGGATCAACTTCCCATAACTGAACGGAAGCAAACTCAGAACATTCTTTGTGATGTTTGTATTCAACTCACAGAGTTGAACCTTCCTTTGATAGTTCAGGTTTGCAACACCCTTGTAGTAGAATCTGCAAGTGTATATTTTGACCACTTTGTAGCCTTCGTTTGAAACGTCTATATCTTCACATCAAACCTAGAAAGAAGCATTCTCAGAAAGTTTTCTGCGATGACTGCATTCAACTCACAGAGTTGAACAATCCTTTTGATGGAGCAGTTTTGAAACCCTCTTTCTTTGGAATCTGCAAGGGGATATGTGGACCTCTTTGAAGATTTCACTGGAAACGGGATCATCTTCACATAAAAACTAAACAGAAGCAATCTCGGAAGCTATTTTGTGATGTTTGTATTCAACTCCCAGAGTTGAACTTTCCTTTTGAAAGAGCAGCTATGAAACACTCTTTTTCGAGAATCTGCAAGTGGACGTTTGGAGGGCTTTGAGGCCTGTGGTGGAAAAGGAAATATCTTCACACAAAAACCAGATAGAAGCATTCTCAGAAACTACTTTGTGAGGATGGCATTCAACTCATGGAGTTGAACAATCCTATTGATAGAGCAGATTGGAATCACTCTTTTGTAGAATCTGCAAATGGAGATTTGGACTGCTTTGAGGCCTACGGTCGTATAGGAAGGAACTTCATATAAAAGGCAAACGGAAGCATTCTCAGAATATTCTTTGTGATGATGGAGTTTCACTCACAGAGCTGAACATGCCTTTTGATGGAGCAGTTTCCAAATACACTTTTGGTAGAATCTGCAGGTGGATATTTGGAGCTCTCTGAGGATTTCGTTGGAAACGGGAATAATTTCCCATAACTAAACACAAACACTCTGAGAAAGTTCTTCATGATGAATGCATTTAACTCGCAGAGATGAACCTGCCTTTGAGAGTTCAGGTTCGAAACACTCTTTCTGTAGAATCTGCAAGTGGATATTTGGACCACTGGGTGGCCTTCGTTCGAAACGGGTATATGTTCACGTAAAAACTAAAGAGAAGCATTCTCAGAAACTTCTGAGTGATGATTGCATTCAAGTCACACAGTTGAACCCTCCTTTTGATGGAGCAGTTTTGAAACTGTCTTTTTGTAGAATCTGTAAGTGGATACGTGGACCTCTTTGAAGATTTCTTTGGAAACGGGAATATTTCCACAGAAAAACTAAACTGAAGCATTCTCAGAAACTGCTTTGTGATGTTTGTGTTCGAGCCACAGAGTTTAACATTGCTTTTCATAGAGCAGTTTTGAAATATTCTTTTCGCAGAATCTGCAAGTGGACATTTGGAGCGCTTTCAGGCCTGTGGTGGCAAAGGCCTGAAAGCCTTTTCCTTTATCTTCACAGAAAGACGAGAGAGAAGCATTGTCAGAAACTTCTTTGTGATGATTGCATTCAACTCACAGAGTTGAAGATTCCTTTTGAAACAGCAGTTTCGAAACACTCTTTCTGTGGGATCCGCAAGGGGATATTTGGACCTCTTTGAAGGTTTCGTTGGAAACGGGATAATCTTCACCTAAAAGCTAAACGGAAGCATTCTCAGAAACTTCTTTGGGATGTTTGCATTCACCTCACAGAGTTGAACTTTCCCTTTGATAGCGCAGCTTTGACACACTTTTTCTACAATGTGCAAGTGGCTATTTAGCGGGCTTGGAGGACTGTGTTGGAAAAGGAAATATCTTCTCCTAAAAACGACATAGAAGCATTCTCAGAAACTGCTCTGTGATGATTGCATTCAACTCCCAGAGTTGAACATTCCTTTTGATAGAGCAGTTTGCAAACACTCTTTTTGTAGAATCTGCAAGTGGAGATTTGGACCGCTTTGAGGCCTGTGGTAGTGAAGGAAAGAACTTCATATAAAAACCAGACGGTTTTCTTTTCTTTTTTTTTTTTGAGACGGAGTCTTGCTCTGTTGCCAGGGCTGGAGTGCAGTGCTGAGATCTCAGCTTATTGGAACCTCTGCCTCCCAGGTCCAAGCCATTCTTTCTCCCTCCTCAGCCTTCTGAGTAGCTAGGATTACAGGTGCCCACCATCATGCCCAACTAATTTTTGTATTTTTAGTAGAGATGATGTTTTCTACAAAACGTGTGTTTGGAAACTGCTCCATCATAACGAATGTTCAGCTCCCTGAGTTAAACTCCATCGTCACAAAGAATTTTCTGAGAGTGCTAC